>NT_187576.1:900000-985506 GCF_000001405.40 Homo sapiens | reverse complement strand
GAATTCCTGTCACCACTTTTCCAGAGGTAGACTGGCCATAGTTTTCTGCTGTTTCTAAAATTTAACCTGTATTCCAGTAACATGTATTTATTCTCTAACCAAATTATGCCATATCAATTTTCCAGTCCCCATGTCTTTCTGCTGCTTCTTGGTGTTGTCTTTGGGTAATGCCTATCTAGTCACTTAGAATTTTTTTTGCCTTAGTTTCTTTTTTGTAAAATCGGAATAAGCGATTCATTACCTGCCTTTTCACAAGGCTGATATAAAGGAAAAGCTAGAAAATGTATCCAAGTGAATTAGTCATACAATGTTCAAGGAAAATGGATACTGAGTAAAGCATTCTTCATTTACGTATTTTCAAAAGTTTCTGAGTCATGTAAACAATCGATGGGATGGTTGAAAGAATTCTGAAAAATTTATTTTACAAAAATATATCTATAATTTCTTATCTAAATTATTCAGAAAATATATTACCCCCCAACTAGTTTTACGAGACCAGAGTAATCTTAATACCAAAGCTGGGTAAAAATTTTAAGGAAAGAAAATTCACAAATACAGAAACAATAATTCTTTGGAAATAATCAACAAATTGAATTAAGCTCTCTAAAGAATGATGGTACATCATGAGCAGATGGGTGTTAACCAATAAATACAAAGTTTATTTTGCATTCAAAGTTAATCAGTATAATTCACCATGTTAACAGAGTAAAGGAATAAAAGAAAGATTATCTCAATAAGTGTAGAAAAAGCTTTTGGCAGCATTTAATACTCATTGATGGTAACATCTTAGCAACCAATATCATCTTGAAAAGGGAATCTTCAAAGACCTGTTGCTAGCACCTTTCTTTACTATAAACATTGGATGATATCCCCATAATATTGGAAACAAGAGAGGAATACCTATTCTCATGACTTTTACTTATAATTGTACAGGAAGTCCTAGGCAATGCAATAAGCAAGAAAAGTAAATAGAAACATAAACGTGAAAAAGAAAACAGTAATTATTTAGAGAAGACATATATATGTAGAAAACCCTCTCAAGTCTATTAAAAATAAACAACAAATCAAGTGAGATCATGGAATATAGGTTCTACTGATAAAAATCAGTTATATTTCTATGTACTAGCCAATATTTGAAAAGTGGGCTTATTAAAAAAACCTACCAATTTATATAGCATAAAAATTGATATCCTAGAAATTACTCTAAATACATTTCTAAGATAAATTAGAGAAGATCTAAATGGATAGAAAGATAAACTATATTCAGTTTGGAAGAAAAAATGTTTTCAAGATATCAGTTCTTCCCAATTTGTTAAACAGATTCAAAGTGCTCCTAGGCATAACTCCCGAAGATCTTCCTGAGAAACTGATGAGTCTAGAATGTATGTTTGGTTTTCATAGCTGGGGGAGGAGGCCATGCTGCAGGGAGCCGGTGGGTTGGGACCAGGCACACTGCAAAACATCCGAGAAGGCACAAGACAGTCCCTCCCCACATCAAAAACCTGCTCTAAAATGCCAACAGTGGCATGCTTTTCCCAAGGATTTCTTCTACTGCCCTTTAAGATGGAAAGTCGTTACCTTCTAAAGGTTAATTTTAAAACATGTATTAACCTGACGGTTGACTTCTAACATTTAACTCTGTAATCAATATGCATAGAGAGCTGGGATCATCAGGAGATAAAGCCTGCCGCTGGTTGCCAGCCTCTCTCCCACCATGTGTAGCCAATTGCTCTAACACTACTTCTCAGGTGAATTATTTTGTCTCACTGAGTAGAGATGCCAACATTTGATAGATATTAAACTATAACATTGTAGGATATGTTTCTGAAGTCTGCTGTTTTTTTTTAACCAAAGTTACCTGTGCCACACTTTTTAGAAAGTTGTACCTTTTTCAATGTTTTAATATCCACTAGCGAATTGCTTATTTATGTTTTCCAATAGCCTTCAAACACCATAAAACTTAGGGCTGTGTTATTAATGTTTAAATCCTAGTTTTATCCTAGTACATAGTTTGTAATTTATCTGGTATCCTATTGTTTAAAAGATTCTTCTAAAATTTTCTTAACTTTTAAATATTTCATTCTTCCAGATAAATTTTAAATTTTTGTCTCATAATATCAAGAATTAACAGAAATGCAAGCGTCTTTTAGTTCACTGACTGCATTAAAAACAAACAAAAAAAAAACTTGCACAGGATTTATGTGAAAATGACCAAACCTAAGAATGCTTTCAAACATTCATCCTAGGTACTTGGAACATTTTCCTTGTGAGAGCTTATTCATTTGCTTAGGACTCACTTTGCTTTTACAGATAATGCCATGTTAATTCAGCTGCTGTCTAAGTGATTGTTATTACTGGACTCAAAATAAATGCTGTAATCGAATTTGAGGAGGAACTATATTTAAAATATTTCTTTCTGGTTTTATTGATAAATCCATTTAATTGGATGTCTTTTGTTTTGCTTTTGAAGCTCACTAACTTGTTGTCAAATCGTATGTGTAGTTAGAGTAGCCTATGCAGAAATTCTCAAAGGCTAGTAATTAGTTGGCAAAATACTGCTCAAAAGAGAATTTGCGTGCAAATGGGATAGACTGTTCCCCAAACTGATTATGGAATATGAATATATCTTTTAACTTTTGTAGTTAATTATGAGCATATCCAGGATCGCCCCCTCAAATTGTCCCCAGAGCAAGGTCCTTCTATTACAAACCTGTCAAGAACTGGGCTGTCAATCTGCTGGTGCTGTTCCTGGCTTCGCCACCAGGTGTCGGTGTTTAATGGAGAATTTTGCTCCAGGCTTTGCAGGTGCTTAATGGGCTAACACAGCTCTGGAGATGCGATGGTCCCTTTCTTCTTGGTAGGCTTGGCCAAAGGCACACCCCACTTGGGATCCAAAATGCACAGATGTCTTTGATTAGCTCTTTAATTTCCTAGACCAACAGTGCTGAGCCGGGACAGTCTAGCTCTGTCCAGTTAGCAGTTCCCCCACTAAGTATTCTCCCTGGAACAGGCATCAGTGCCCATGAGGCAGGGCTCCTTTTTCTATGAAACTCTCAACACACGAAAAGTCCATCCACCTCCCTCTGCAGAAACATTCAGGATCACAGCCAGCTTCCCATGCGACGTCTCCAAAGTGATTGATGTGCCCGACGGAGGTCACTCCCAGTGACTCTAAAAGCCCAACTCTTAGCCTTCAATTAGAAATTTAGCTTAGTGACTCATGGTGAACGTCCACTTCGTCACATACCTAGGAGCATCTGCCAGACTCTCCTGCTAATAAACGAGGAAACTCAGCAGGGGCCTTTCTCCTGTAAGGTGCACATTCCAACCTCCGCATGTCCCACACCATTCGTATTCTATGAAAAGGGAACAAGGGGATTTGAAGCAATATGGAGTTCTGCATCTAGGAGTGTTAAAAACATCCTTTTGGAGATGTTAATATGAAGGAAGGAGGCATAATGTGACCACTCCAGTTGTGAGAATGAACAGAGACCAACCAAATGAGAACAGGCAAGAGCTATTTATTCAGAGCTTGCTAGACAGATGGAGCCACCACCACACTTTGGGCTTGGCAGAGACTCAGGAGGCAGGGAGCGGGGAGAGCGGCTCGGGGAGCCCCGGCGGAGGCTGTGGTGGTAGTGGGGACATCTCATGGAATTGACTAGGGGAACACTTGGCTTTCTCCACCTGGTCCTAGGTTGGAATTGGGGACAACGTTACAGAATCTGTCAGTCATTAATTACATCCTGGCCCTTTGGCACTGATTGCCTCAGGGTGAACTGTTTGGCCTTCTGGGCCGTTGCTTGACACCCCGGCCTTCCTTTCTGGACTCTGACTTGCAGCAGGTGGCTTCCGAACTGGCTCCTGCAGACAAGCGCTGGCTCCCGGGGCTGCTCGCGGCAAATCGTGGGTCAGAGTTCTGCTTTTATATGTGGCGTGGTAATTGATCATTTACAAACTCAGTCTCCCAAAGTCATATTCTCTTAGCAAAAAATAAAATTTTAATGAATGGCTAATATATGTGACTTTGAGAAAATCCTCAATTGTTATCATTACTTTGATTATTTTTGAATTTTACCCTTAGAAATGTAGCTTTTTAGTTTTGGGAATTAATAGTAGAAAAATAGAAACTTAAGTCCTATACTTATATTTAATCATAGTTAATCATAGAGATGAATAACACCCAACACTGATACAACCGTTTTTTATTAGCAACTTAATGTATGAAAGAATGAGGAGCACAGATCGACTCCTCTCACTTTGAGAGTCTTTTCTTTCCTAATACACTTTTCATGGCAAGGTTTTCATGTGCCTCTTAATGACTTCTATTCCCATGTGATAGTGTGACCTGGCAAGTAAAGTATTAAACAATAATTGAAAAAGAGTTTGATCTTAACACTACATTTTCAAGATCTTAACGACTTTATTATAAAATCCGTGTACAAAAGCATCTGCATTTATTTCCAACAGAGAAAACATGAAAAGCAAAAGGTTTCAGTCACCGAATCTTTCCCAACAGGAGGTAGGAGAGGGCCTGGGAGTGCAGGCAAGGACAGAAAGAGCGGTTTCCCCATAAAAATGCCTGTGGCGTCTGCGGTACTGCGTTCCAGGAATCAAAGCCGCAGGCTGCAGAGGGGAGCATGAGCTTCCGCAGCTGCGGTGAAGGTGAAGCTGGTGGAGAGAGGCCGCCTTCCAGGGGTCCCTGAGCGGCAATGAGCTGCAGTCTCGCCGACTGCGCTCTGCGTTGGAAGCTGGAGGAGGAGCTGCTGGTCTTCGCTCTGTCTCTTGAACTCCTCCGGTCAGGTTAGACACTTCTTTTGTGCTTTCATGGGAGCTTCATGGTGTGTGTGATGGACTCTCCCAAAAGTCCCCGCTATGGTTTCTCACACGTTGAACCAGGTGCTGGGTTTTCTTCTGATGGGGATTCGAAGCTGTCATCAGGCCGTCCTGAATTTCACCACTCTGTCTTCCGGGAGGGCTCCTATGGCATGGCTTGGACTTAACTCCTTGTGCTATGCATTGTTTAGGTCAGATGGGTGCCCGTGTGATATATGTTTTATTTTCTGTTTATTTATTTTTGAGATGAGTCTTGCTCTGTTGCCCAGGCTGGAGTGCAGTGGTGTGATCTCAGCTCACTGTAACCTCCACCAGCTGGGTTCAAGTGATTTTCCTGCCTCCCAAGTAGCTGGGACGACAGGTGCGTGCCAGCACGCCGGCTACTTTTTGTATTTTCAGTAGAGACAGGGTTTCACCATGTTGGACAGGCTGGTCTCCTACATACTCCTGATCTCAAGTGATCCGCCCACCTCAGCTTCCCAAAGTACCGAGATTACAGGCATGAGCCACTGCCTCGGGCCATGTGCTGGTGTGATATAAACGTGCAGTAATTACCTGACTTTGTGTTTACCTTTGTGCCTGGGAAAACACCTGATAGAGGCGTTCCCATGTTAAGATGCTCTCAGGGACCACGCTAGTAGCAGCCGTCAGAGCCTTGACAAATTTAGGGCCCAGGAACCGTGCTTCTGTGCACATTCGTGGAACGCTGTTTGTGCGCCGGATGAACAGCAAACGCTGGAGCCCAGTTTGGCACGTGCCAAGCATTCAGAGACCTCGTTTGCTTTTCAGAGTTCGGGATATGAATGAGATCGGCCTCAGGGCAACTGCAGCATCTCCTACGGGAAGCCCTCATCTCCCACGCTGCTCCGTCCCGTGTCTCCTACCCTCCCTTGCCTGCCTAGGCCCTGAGGGAGGGTTGCTCCTCCAGCAAGCCTCCGGTTGATCCTCCAGATGTTTCCTTTCTAATTTTTCATATTAGCTGAATTGGGATCCACTTTTTCACGGACTCTTCAAGACAATCGATGGCGGATATTATCAACCCCTTCATTTAGTAAACACTTAGATCAGGATTTGTTTGCTAATCATTAGCTAGCCAGTCCTTGAAATTACTGACGTAACGTTTTTCAGCAAAGGCCCTTCTGCAAGTGTCTCTGTGGGGATGTCGGGGCCGATGTTCACGCTGCCTGAATCCATTTATCCCCAAGATGCTCTCTATGGGATGTTCTCGCAGCTTCCAGAAGCCAACTGAGCTCACCCCATCGTTCAGTTGTGTGAATTTCCATATCAGATATAAATTAACCAAACGTTGACTTTGTCAGTTCTCAAGGGAGATCTCAGGATGCTGGGAGCAGGCACCTAGAGTTTGTCGTGACCCGTGCCCCTCACCCGGGTGCTTTCTGACAAACTCCACCCTTTCAGGAGATGGCTGGAGGCTGCGAGGGCACCGCATGGTGGTGAATGGCAGACCAGGAAGGCATTGGTGGGGAGGGTTACGCTCCCATGGCTGTGTTCACTGTTACTAGTTGGATCCCTGCTGCCCTCTTTGTACTCATGGATGAGAGTCAGAAATAGAGTGGGCTCTGCACTCATTAACCAGACCAGATGAGTCACTGCAAATCAGCACCAGATTTTGCTTATCTTTTGCTTGAGAAGCTGTCAGCTGCTGATATGGTTTGGGTCTGTGTCCCCACCCAAATCTCATCTTGAATTGTACTCCCATAATTCCCACATGATGTGGGAGGGACCCAATAGGAGGTAATTTAAATTATGGGGACAGTTTCCTCCATACTGTTCTCAAGGTAGTGAATAAGTCTCATGAGATCTGATGGTTTAATAAGGGGTTTCCGCTTTTGCTTTTTCCTCATTTTCTCTTGCCGCCGCCATGTAGGAAGTGTCTTTTGCCTCCCACCATGATTCTGAGGCCTCCCAGCCATGTAGAACTGTAAGTCGAATTCAACCTCTTTTTCTTCCCAGTCTCAGGTAAGTCTTTATCAGCAGCATGAAAATCGACTAATATAGTAATATAGCTGTCCATGTCCCTTCAAATGAAAGTTCATTCAAGGATAGGCATCTTCATTTGAACTCTTCCTCCCATTTCCACTTCCTTGGCTGCTGTTTTATTGATTCTCCCATTTGGCAGCATGTCCTGGGCATCTCCAGTGTGCCAGGTGTGTTGGTGCCCTCAAGTTAGAGGGATGGGCAACAGAAACAGCCTCAGCAAAACATTGATTTTGAGGGAACAGGAATACATACAGACTTAAAAATTGTCATCATTTCTACAAAAGAAAGAACAGGATGTGAAGACACAGAATACACCAGAAGAAATGGCACAGTTTAGATGGGGGAGTAGGAAAAGACCCCTGAGGAAGGGCGTTTGGATGGAGGCATGCAGGATGGGTAAGAGTTCACTGGAGCATTCTTGGGGATGAGCCTTCTGGGTAGTGGACATGGGCTGTGCAAATGGCCCAAGGTGGTTTCGCGGAGCGCAGCAGGCATGGAAAAGAATGACGCAATCTGTTTTCAGAGACGTGGCTGGGTGTGGGGCTGGGTGATGCCCCACGATACAGGCATGTGATGGGGCTTGTGATTCTTTAAAGTGAAATGCACCATTGCCAGCTTTGAGCAGAGCTGTAATGTTACCCAATTTGTGTTGTGAAGAATTACTCCTACAACAAGGATGTTCCGGCAGCTGGTGGAGAGGGGAACACTCACACATGGCCCCAGTAGGGTGGTGTGAATTCTCCCAGGGGTGGTATGGCCAGAAGTGGGGAGGGAGCCAAGGGAGGAACTTGAAAACAGCATGGGAGGGAGGAGCAAGACCGCAATGGATCTGAAATGGAGAGTGTGAGAAGGCAAAGTCCAAAGAGGATGTGGAGATGCTAATGTGAACAGAGGTGCTGATACCTGAGAAGGAAGAACCCAGAGGAGGAACAGAGATGAGGGGTGAGGTTCATGGCTGCATGTTTTCATGTTTGTGGCAGTGCTTCTAAGCTGTTTGGTTTAATTCTTAAGTTTGTTGTAGGACTTGGACGTTCAAAGATGATGAACAGAGTCCAGTCTTGAGCATTAAAGATTTCGTAATCTAAAGTTGATACAGACTTTGGAACTAACAGAATGATATGGTTTGGCTGTGTCCCCACCCAAATCTCATCTTGAACTGTAGCTCCTATAATCCCCACCTGTTGTGGGAGGGACCCAGTTGGGGGTAACTGAATCATGAGTGGGTTTTCCCATGCCGTTCTCTTGACCTTGAATAAGTCTCATGAGATCTGATGGTTTTATAAAGGGCAGTTCCCCTGCACAAACTCTCTTGCCTGCCACCACATAAGATGTGGCTTTGCTCCTCCATCCTCTTCCGCCATAAGCATGAGGCCTCCCCAGCCATGTGGAACTGTGAGTCCATTAGACCTCTCTTTCTTTACCAGAAATACCAGTCCTGGGTATTTCTTCATAGCAGTATGAAAATGGATGAATACAGACAGGAATAGAGATAAATGAACACCTGACCCTGTGCCCAGGCAGAATGGGACCACAGTGGAGGGAGGCTGGTTGGTAGTTGCAGGAGGGCTCAGCCCAGATGGATGCATTTGGGGCTTATTGCTGCTAAATTTTTGGAGCTTTTTGAGGTCAAATGCTATGTCATGTGCCTCTCAGTTTCCTCTGTAGCTCCCCAGCTGTTGTGGCTTACTCATAGAAGAGTTCAGTAAACATCCTTGCCTTGATTAGCACCGAACAGAACCACTCTCTTGTGATCCATATAAAATCCTCTTGAGCAATTACTAGGTAATTTCCACTGTCTTATAGGAGCATAATCATAGCAATATTGAGGTGAGATATCTTTTCTTTTTTAATAAAAGAACTCTAAAATGAAAACTTCAGTGCAAAGGAATAGTGAGTCAGAGGTCTGGTGGGGATGGTTTTAGAAATGCCAGTAACAGAACAGTAAATAACTTGATCATTTAGTGCACTGAGTAGAAAAAAAACCCTCATAGATGACTCTTCTATATACTTCTTGTGATTTTAACACCTACATTTAGCTCCTAGGCATGAGTTTGAAGTCAAATATGTAACCATTAAATCTCACCTTTACCTGAAGCTGTTGAAATATCCTTAGAAATTAAAGGAAAAAATAGAGACTGGCAGTTTTTCATAGATTAAACTCTTTCATACCTGTCTTGATTGAGTACTGTGGTGGCTCCAGTGCTCAGGTGGCAGGCAGTTAAATCTGTTAGCAGACACTGAAAAGAACTTACGTAAGAAATGAAATAGTGAATTATTTGATAACTGTCCTGCACTAAATTTTTCTTTAAACAGCTGCAGGAATATTGCCAACCGTTTCCGTTTTTACGAGTAACACTGTCTTACTTGCTGTCATTGAACCAGTTGGAAACAAATGCGAAAATAAAAACCATGAGAATATTTGATATTTCCATCTTTTCAGAAAACAGCCTCAGAAAATGTGCCCTAATAAGTCAATGAACTGAATATGCTTCACACTCACACATGCCTAATTCAATTATTGTTCAATTAGAGAAAAACAACAACTTCTGTTCTTATTCCTAAGTGTACTCTTCATATCATCTCTTCATTATTTCTGATCATTCCTCTGTTCTGATTTAGTTTTACTGCCAGGTCTGCATATTTCCAATTGTTAAGCATCTTCCCCTTGGTGGCCAGTCTCAGTCTCCCCATAGCTGAGAGTAATTTCCTGCTGTCAGGAAGGCCCATCTTGGCTCCCAGAGGGCCGGGTCCCATCCTATCCCTCAGACAGTTATGCGCATGCATTTTCGTCCTCCTTACATAAAGTAGGGAGGCTTTGCTGAGTCAGGAGACTCCATCATAAAACATGGCGCTTGGTATATGATTGTATTTTACTTGTCATGAATCAAAACGTAATTGAAGATATTGTTTGAATAAATGAATAGATATATTGTCAGACTGAGTTCAGACAAAATAATAATGAGTGATGATAAAGTACTAAGAGGTTTTGAACTTATGCAAGGAGAGAACAAAGGAAAAGTTTTAAAAAGAAAATATAAAGTATTCAAATTACTCTTATTGTTTTTATTTCAGTAATGTTATTTGCAGTGTAGGAAGAAGTCTGAAACATTAATTACCCAGAGTAATAGCTTAAAATTCTAAGATCTCTCTCTCTGTCTCTTTCTCTCAAAATGCATATATACACACACATATATATATTTATTTATTTTCATTGAATCTCAACCACAGAATTTTGGTAACAGAGTTGTTACAGTTCTAACACACATACTATTTTCTTGCTATCAAGATTCCTCTTTGTACAAACATAAAAACAGTGTGTGGAATTATATCAATAATAAAGTAATAATTTTTGCATCCCTGGAATAAATTCTGTTAGGTTGGTGCAAAAATAATTTCATCAACGTAATACTTGATCATGGTCAATGATACTTTTAATATGCTGTTGAAAATCATTTGCTAGTATTTTGTGGAAGAGTTTTCCATCTATGTTCATCAAGAATATTGGTCTGTAGTTTTCTTTTCTGATAGTGTCAGTGTCCTTGTCTGGCTTTTACATCAGGGTAATGTGGCCTCGAAAATGAGTTTGAATGTACTTCCTTTTCGTCAGTTTTTGGAAGAGTTTGAGGATAATCGGCATTAATTGGTAGAATTCACCATGAAACAATCTCATCGTAAACTTTTCTTTGTTGAAAGGGTTTAAAAATTATTACTAATTCAATATTCTCGTTATTGGTTGTTCAGGTTTTTTTTATTTCTTGATAATTTGGTCTCGAAGATTGTATGTTTCTAGGAATTTATCAGTTTCTTCTAGGTTTTCCAATCATTGGTGTATAATTGCTCATAGCAGTCTTGAATGAACCCTTGTATTTCTGTGGTGTCAGTTGGAATGACTCCACATTAATTTGTAATTTTATTTGAGTCTTTTCTCTGTCTTAGCTAGTCTAGCTAAAGATTTGTCAGTTTTGTTTATCTTTTAACAAAAAACACTCTCAGCTTCATTGATCTTTTCTATTGCCTTTCTTCTCAATCTGTTTTTGCTCCAATCTTTATTATTTCTTTCCTTCTACCAACTTTGGGCTTACTTTGTTCTTCATTTTCTAGTTCCAAGAGTTGTCAAATTGGATTATTTGAGATCTTTCTTTTTTCTTAATGTAGAAATTAAGAAAAAATTCATTTATGGTAGTAAAAATTTACTTAGGAATAAATTTATCCACAGATGTGAAAGATCTGTACATTGAAATCTATAAAATACTGATGTAAAGAATTAAAATAGACAAAAAATGAAAACCAGAACAATGTTAAAAAACCAGAAGAATAAATATTGTCAAAATATTCATACTACCGAATGTGATCTACAGATTCAGTGCAATCCATTTCAAAACTCCAATGGCATTTTTTACAGAAATAGAAAAAAAAATCCTTAAATTCATATGGACTCACAGAATATCCCGAATACCTAAAGCAATCTTGCACAAGACGAACAAAGCTGAAAGAATTACATTCCCTGGTTTCAAATTACATTGCAAAGCTGTAGTAATCAAAACAGCATGATATGGGCATAAAACAGATACACAGTCCAATGAAACAAAATAGCCCAGAAATAAACCCATGCATCTATTATCAACTAATTTTAAACAAGGGCATTAATAAAACACAATGTGGAAAGAATAGTCTCTCCAGTAAATGCTGCTGGGGAAACTGGATAGCCACATGCAGAAGAATGAAATTGGACCCTTACCTCACATCACATAAAAAATCAACCAAAACATATTAGAGACTTGAACCTTAGACTGGAAACTGTAAAAGGCTGAACTCAGGGCTAATGCTCAAGGCATCCTCTGAGTCTTTTTTCAGCCACATGCGAGCCTGGCTCCAAGCCTAGTACCCTGGCTAAGGCCAAGCAGATGCCCATTATTAGCCATAGGTTGAGGTTCTCTAATTGGCAGATTCTAGAATAAAATACCATAAGGCTTCTGAATAAGGGGAAAGGTTTTTCCATATCTCTATATAACTCCCACTCTCAATTCCTTTTTTTTCTTGCCTCAGGATTGGCCTCCCTCAGAAAGTGACAATACAAACAATTTCCTTCAGGGCCACCCCCAAGCTACCCCACACATGGTGACACCAATATACACCCTTTGACCTCCCAAAGACATCAGACCTCAGTCCTAAACAATGGAGCACTTCCTGGGGTTGAGTGATTTAGTTCCATGTGATTCTACTGCAAGAGTAGTCTAGGGTGGCCTGCATTAAACTACTTTAAGATCTTTTGGGTTTTTTTTTCTATGACCTGGGGGAAAGACATCAGATATCTATCTATCTTACAGTGTTTGTCACCTCTGTTTCTAATCTCCAGTGGGATCAAATACTCCAACAAAAATAAATACAGTTTTTTCTATGACCTGAGTAGAGGAGATCAGATCGATCTATCTATATACCTATGTATCTCTTACAGTGTTTGTCATCTCTGTTTCTAATCTCCAGTGGGATCCAATATTCAAACAAAAATAAATACAGTTTTCCCAAAACTATTACAGACTGGCACATAATAGCCTGAGTTCAAACTTAAACGAGATTATCTCCTTGAAGAAACCCCATAAGTCTTGAGTGACATACATTTTTCTATAGGAATTGTTCAGTTTACAAGATCACTTTATCACATTTGATAGGAAGCATTTACTCTGAGGCTTATCACTGGATTCCCAACCTTGCTGGTCATGCATTGCCTCACATAGGAGGTGTTCACAGCACTGCAGAGGACATGTGACTATAGCAAAGGGCAATCTATCCCAAAGCTGATTAAAATCCCTAGCTTCCACGATTGAGGAAGACAGGGATGCGCCTGCTATACCCACTGGGATTTTTAAAAACAATCACAAAACCTCTCTCCTTACCCCACAGCCATTGACCTAGGTCAGTCCTGCAGCTCTGCCAACACCTTCTAGGACTTGAACAGATTATATGGTTGTATGGTCTCATTGTGATGCTTCCTCTCCACGTGTGACTCTGGATATTAACCTATAGGCAAGAGAGCAAAAACAACAGCAAATATTAATCCAACTCACATTCCACCCAAGCACCATTCTTAGTGCCTTACATGCCTTAATTTATTTTATCCCAACAAAAATCTTATGACTTATATGCTATTATTATCTATACTCTCACTGATGGGCACAGAGGCTGAGTAACTTCCTTCAGGACACACAGCAAAGAAGTGCAGACCTTGGGTTTGAACCCTCGAGGTAGACTTGACTTCTTGCTCTAAAAATCTGTATTGGGAGAAAAAACTTGCTTGAAGTAGTTACCTGAGTTTTACTTGGAAGTAGGTATACATATTTGTTGCAGATCTGAAAATGTATTCCAAGAGTAAAGTAGAGTCACAATGTAATTTGATGTAATATATACAAGATATGAGATAATATACAACTTACACTACTAAGGGTGGTTTTGAGAGAAAAAAAAAAAGGCTTTTGGTAAAACACTAAATTCTGTGCCTCAAGGAAAATATATACCAAAATCAAACAAGCAAACGATACCGGTAAAAATACAATAATTTTCAGACGAAATGTGTTTTGTTATTTTAGTGATTGCAAAGGAAATTTACGAAGATAATATGACTGATTATATCACAGTAAAGTAGCAAAGGACAAAATTTCTTGAAGTGGGATGTTAAAACTTGCTACTGACATAATAAATACTTTATGCAATTTTCTATGAGACAGTAATCACATAGCTTCCACAACATATCTTTATTATTTTTATTTTACTAATTTTTTTGGTTTGCTTGAAATTGTGATGAAACACTTTCAGCAATTCCTTTTACATACATCCAATTTGGTTTAAACTCTAGAAACTCAGGGACACATTTTCGTGTTTGTTTTGATTTCTACAGATGACCGGAAAGAAAGTAATTGGCTTTCACTAACTGTTTTTATTCAGGAGTTCTTTTTCATTAACTGTTGCCAACAGATATAAAATAACATTTTAAAAAGTTGACTATGCATTCATCCAAGTATTTAGAAATGCATCCATCTCAAAATGCATGAGTCAATGATCCAGTTCCATTGTTTTACATGTGAATATCCGGTTTTCCCAGCACCGTGTGTTGAAGAGACTTTCCTTTCCTCATTGTGCATTCCTGGCCCTCTTGTCAAAGTTCAATTTACCACGGGTTAAACACTTAAATATAAGATCTGAAACCATAAATCTCCTGAAAACAATCGGAGGGGAAAAAAATCCTTTCCATTTGTCTTGGCAATGATTTTTTGGATGTAATACCAAAAGCACAGGCAAAAAAGAAAAAGAAACAACTAAGACTAGGTAAAACCAAACAGATTCTGCACAGCAATGAAAACAACAACAACAAAATGAAAAGGTAACCTACAGAATGGGAAAAAAATTTGCAAACCATGTATTTGATAAGGTGTTCATATCCAAAATATATAAGAAACTTAACTCAGTATTAATAAATAAATAAATAACTCAGTTAGAACATGGGCTAAGAATCTAAATAGACATTTCTCCAAAAAATAAAAACGATGTACAAATGGACCACGGGTATATAAAAAGGTGGTCACTAATCATCAGGGAAAATCAAATTAAAACCATGTGAGATAACAGCTTACACCTGTTAGAATGGCGATCATTGAATAACAAATGATAACAAGTGTTACGGATGGTGTAGAAAAAGGGAACCCTCACACACTGTTGATGGGAATAAAAATTAGTATAGCTATTATGAGAAACCGTATGGAAGTGCCTCAGACAACTAAAAACAGAACTACCATATGATCCAGCATTCCCACTAATGAATATTTATCCAAAGGAAAGAAAATCAGTATATCAGATATTTGCACCTGCATATTTATTGCAACATTTTTCACAATAGCCAAGATATAGAATAAACCTCAATGTCCATCCACAAATAAACAAGAGCTAAAGGTGAGCTACAGGATGCTGCAAGCGTGCGATGTGTCTTGGTGCGTGAGCACAGATACTTTCTACATGCCTAGCATATGGAGAAGATGAGGCCCAGGGATGGCTGCAGTTAAGACCAGGAGGCAAAGCCTGTAAAGACCATGGGAAACTGAGCGGGCTCAGAGGCTGGAGCCCAGTGAAAGAAATGGCCACACCTGGATCCAGAGGAAGCACAGATGGTGAATATAAAGGCTGATAATGGTGGTTGGGGCTGAGGGCGTCCAGCATAGTCAGGGGGTCAAGACTCCTGCAGAGGAAGCTTTCCCTCATGGAAGCTTTTCCTTCTGTAATATGCCTGGGTAAATACACATCATGTATATTTGTCTTCTTCTTTACATGTAATTAATATGTGCAATATTAAACAAGTAGACACAGTCTACTGGCAGTTTACAAAGGATCTGTAGAATACTTTGATTGATTTTTATTATAGCCACAAAGAAAGAAGTTTCAGAAAACCTTTAAGATTTTTGTCTTTATGATAACTTGGAAAAGAAAATCCAATGCTCTTACGATCTTTTCCGTCACCGTAATATCAGTCTATTGGGGTTTGATATGTCTCTTGTCAAATTTCTCCTTCTACAGTAATCAAAATGCACACATGAGCTTGCGTGCGCACACACACACACACACACACACGCACAAAGAGTTCTGGCTTGTGGCAAACAACATGTCTGATTAGAACTAGAATAGCCACATAGTTTACAAGAATGGAACACCTGGTTAAAGGCAATGAGAGCTTTTAGAGCAACCAGATCTTGAGGGCCAAAATTGTAAAGAAAAGAGAACTACATAAGGTGAGTCTGTATTATAAACCTGCTTTTCACATACGGCCTCTTGTAAATTCACAGCTCTGAGTCAATACGTTTCTAAAAAGTACATACATCAGGTTGTTCAGTTTCCATGTAGTTGAGCGGTTTTGAGTGAGTTTCTTAATCCTGAGTTCTAGTTTGAGTGCACTGTGGTCTGAGAGAGAGTTTGTTATAATTTCTGTTCTTTTACATTTGCTGAGGAGAGCTTTACTTCCAACTATGTGGTCAATTTTGGAATAGGTGTGGTGTGGTGCTGAAAAAAATGTATATTCTGCTGATTTGGGGTGGAGAGTTCTGTAGATGTCTATTAGGTACACTTGGTGCAGAGCTGAGTTCAATTCCTGGGTATCCTTGTTGACTTTCTGTCTCATTGATCTGTCTAATGTTTACAGTGGGGTGTTAAAGTCTCCCATTATTAATGTGTGGGAGTCTAAGTCTCTTTGTAGGTCACTCAGGACTTGCTTTATGAATCTGGGTGCTCCTGTATTGGGTGCAAATATATTTAGCATAGTTAGCTCTTCTTGTTGAATTGATCCCTTTACCTTTATGTAATGGCCTTCTTTGTCTCTTTTGATCCTTGTTGGTTTAAAGTCTGTTTTATCACAGACTAGGACTGCAACCCCTGCCTTTTTCTGTTTTCCATTTGCTTGGTAGATCTTCCTCCGGATTCCCTATTTAACAAATGGTGCTGGGAAAACTGGCTAGCCATATGTAGAAAGCTGAAACTGGATTCCTTCCTTATACCTTATACAAAAATCAATTCAAGATGGATTAAAGACTTAAACGTTAGACCTAAAACCATAAAAACCCTAGAAGAAAACCTAGGCATTACCATTCAGGACATAGGCACGGGCAAGGACTTCATGTCTAAAACACAAAAAGCAATGGCAACAAAAGCCAAAATTGACACATGGGATCTAATTAAACTAAAGAGCTTCTGCACAGCAGAAGAAAATACCATCAGAGTGAACAGGCAACCCACAAAATGGGAGAAAATTTTCGCAACCTACTCATCTGACAAAGGGCTAATATCCAGAATCTACAATGAACTCAAACAAATTTACAAGAAAAAAACAAACAACCCCATCAAAAAGTGGGCGAAGGACATGAACAGATACTTCTCAAAAGAAGACATTTATGCAGCCAAAAATCACATGAAAAAATGCACACCATCACTGGCCATCAGAGAAATGCAAATCAAAACCACAATGAGATACCATCTCACACCAGTTACAATGGCAATCATTAAAAAGTCAGGAAACAACAGGTGCTGGAGAGGATGTGGAGAAATAGGAACACTTTTACACTCTTGGTGGGACTGTAAACTAGTTCGACCATTGTGGAAGTCAGTGTGGCAATTCCTCAGGGATCTAGAACTAGAAATACCATTTGACCCAGCCATCCCATTACTGGGTATATACCCAAAGGACTATAAATCATGCTGCTATAAAGACACATGCACATGTATGTTTACTGTGGCACTATTCACAATAGCAAAGACTTGGAACCAACCCAAATGTCCAACAATAATAGATTGGATTAAGAAAATGTGGCACATATACACCATGGAATACTATGCAGCCATAAAAAATGATAAGTTCATGTCCTTTGTAGGGACATGGATGAAATGGGAAATCATCATTCTCAGTAAACTATCGCAAGAACAAAAAACCAAACACCGCATGTTCTCACTCATAGGTGGGAATTGAACAATGAGAACACATGGACACAGGAAGGGGAACATCACACTCTGATGACAGTTGTGGGATGGGGGGAGGGGGGAGGGATAGCATTGGGAGATATACCTAATGCTAGATGACAGTTAGTGGGTGCAGCACACCAGCATGTCACATGTATACATATGTAACTAACCTGCACATTGTGCACATGTACCCTAAAACTTAAAGTATAGTAATAAAAAATAAATACATCACCTGAGCTTTAGGGAACATCTGGGGCTGCAGACATAAAGCTAGAACTTGGAACTGCCGAGGTAGGCAGGACTTGGAGGGCCAACCAGTAGCTGTGAGCCACATGCTCAGCAGTCTTGCCTTTAAGGCAAATGCTTAATATTTAAGCTCCACTGAGCTGGTGACTAAGAATTAATGTTGTTGACTAACAGAGCAGAGTTGGTGTTCTCAAGAAGCTGAGGGGCCTTCATGCTTGAGTTCAGGAACCAGGAAGGAGGAAGAGCTTTGGAAAAACCTCAGGCTCTCAGGCAGAGCCCCAGCTATGTAGGAGGGAATGAAGAACAGCATAGTAAATACAGAAGAAACTGTAAATGGATATTGAATACACAAAGTGACATCAGCAATTTAATTTTAGAATTTAAACACATGCCCATAATATTGTATGCATATATGTTACTAACAAGCTCATAAAATGAATGTGGAAAAAAAGAAAACAAATTAACTATTAATACGAAAGCAGAAAGGATGAAAAATTAAAACAGTTGAGACAAACAGATCAAATAAAATAATACTGCAAGTAAAAACCAAATATAAAAATAGTTTCACTTAATGTAAATGGATTAAACTGTACAATTAAAAGACAAAGATTGCTAGATTGAAAAAATGCAAAAGTCAGTTATGTATTATTAAAGTGATATGCCTTAATTATAAGAACCCAGCAAGTTGAAAATAAAAGTATAAAAAAAAGACCATGCAACCTCTAAACAAAACAAAGTGCGGATATTCTATTAATAGCAAACGCAATGCAAGAAGCATTTCTAAAGATTAAGAGGGGTATTTTATGACAAAAGATTTCTAAAACAATAATTTCTAAAGTTTAAGAGGGGTATTTTATGACAAAGACCTACCGGGAAGCTGTCACAATTTTAAATATATATGCATATTTTATCATAGCTTTAATATATACAGTGTACTTATATACACATTACACTGAAACTGACCTTTATGCTGTGCCATAGCTCATAAAGTTCTTTGCCTCTGTTCTAGGATTCTGTGTCTTCTGCCATCATCCATGTAACTATAACCTGGTAACTTTGTTTCCCAGCTTTATTGAGGTCTAATTGATAAATAAAACTTGTATATATTCAAGATGTACAATATGATGTTTTGATACATGTACACATTGTAAAATGACTACCACGTTAGCTAATTAACATATTCATCACCTCACATAGTAAACTTTGTTGTTGTTGTTGTAAGCACATTTAAGTGCTACACTCTTAGTAAACTTCAAGTATGCAGTACAATGGTATTAACTTTAACTACCATGCCGTACATTGGATTCCCCATAACTCATTCATCTTATAACTGAAAGTTTGTATATTTTGATCAATGCTCTCCATTGCCTCTAACATCCAGGCTCTGTCAACTGCTCTTCTATTCAGTTCCTGAGTTTAGCTTTTATAGATTCCATATGTAAGTGGGATCATGCAGTATTTGTCTTTCCCTGGCTTATTTCACTTGGTGTGATGTCCTCCAGGCTCTTCCATGGTGGGAGTGTAAATTAGCGCAGTCATCATGGAAAACAGTATGGAGATTCCCCCCAGAATTAAAAATAGATCTACCATATTATCCAGCAATCCCACTGCTGAGTATACATTAAAAAGAAATAAAATCACCACCTCAAAGAAATGTCTGCACTCTCATGTTTATTGCAATATTATTCACAATAGCAAAGATGTGGAAACAACTAAGTGTTTGCTGATGAATGAATGGATTTAAAAACATAGTATGTACAGTCACGTGCTGCTTAACAATGTTTTGGTCAGTGATGCGCCACATGTATGACAGTGATCTGAGCAATAGGCTATACCATGTAGCCCAGATGTGTAGTGGGCTACACCAACCAGGTTTACCTAAGCATGCTCTATGATGTTTGCACAACCATGAAATTACCTAACAATGCATTTCCCAATGATCCTTGTTGTTGAGGAGAAAAACGGGCTCTCTCTCTTTCTCAATCTATATATATATATATATATATATATATATATATATATATATATATGTAGAACATACCTACATATATATATATATATATATATATATATATATATACATCTTTTTCAAGGCTGCATAATATTCCACTGTATATGTATTATATATTGTACATATTATATACACATATTATATATACTGTATATATTAAAATGGTTCCAGGTACATGCAGATTATATATTCAGTATATATAATTTATATACTATATATATATATATATAATATATACTGTGGAATATTATGCAGACTTGAAAAAGAAGGAAATCTTGCCAGTTGAAACAAGGTGGGTGAACCTGGCCTGAAAACTTTTAACAGGGTATAACCTCAGACACTTCATGGTTCTTGACAAGCGTATGACTGACAATGACTAATGGATTTTTAGAAAACCTGAAGATTCTAACTTTGCAACAAATGGATAAAATTTTTCCAGAAATATAACTCTGATGTACAATACGGCCACTCGCTTCCAAACCCCCAGTGTTACTCTAGCTTATCTTGTGGATCAGACATGTTGCCAAAGAAACATTTCCAAGGCAACACTCTGTTTATGACACTTGTGACAGATTGGGTCATTGTTCCCAGTTCTTCACACTCTCCCTGCATCTAGGTCCTTTTCTGTGTGATGACGTTGTGTTATCTTTCACCCAAGTAGAGCATAATTTTCCACCCCATTTATGTTGGGCTTTGCCACATAACTTGCTTTGCACAATGGAAGTGGACAGAAGTTATGCATGCCAGTTTGCAGGCAAGGTCTGAAGAGTTATTATATATTTTGCTCATCTCTCTTGTTTCCCTTTGAGCACTTTGTTAAGGTCCGAGGAGACTGAGGAACCCTATGCACGTTCATAAATCTACATGACCTTCTGGAGCAAGCCTCCTGCTCCGAGTAGTAATGTCTGAGTTGAAGACCCAAGTAAGATAACACACACATGTTGTTGTAAGTCATTGATATTTTGAAGATGTTTTATGAGCAGCAAACACTAACACAGCACTTCGATGCTCACAAAATTTCAAGGACTTTTCATAGCCTGAAGAACAAAGATCATCATACTGATTCTCAGAGCATTCTACAATTATGCCTCACCTGTCTATTAGTTTAATCTTTTTCAATTCTCTTTCATTAACCAAGTCTTTTTTTTTTTTTTTTTTTGAGACGGAATCTTGCTCTGTCGCCCAGGCTAGAGTACAGTGGTGCAACCTCAGCTCGGCTCACTGCAAACTCTACCGCCCAGGTTCATGCCATTCTCCTGCCTCAGCCTCCCAAGTAACTGGGACTACAGGCGCCCGCCACCACGCCTGGCTAGTTTTTTGTATTTTTAGTAGAGATGGGGTTTCATCATGTTAGCCAGGGTGGTCTCGATCTCCTGACCTCGTGATCCGCCCATCTCGGCCTCCCAAGGTGCTGGGATTACAGGCGTGAGGCACTGCACCCGGCCTAACCAATTATTTTACTAAGACGACTTAGTCCATGAGCAGTTAACACTGAAAATATATTTATATGGTCAAGCTCAACATATATTTCCTTGTAGCATGTTCCACAAAACCTCTCCATTTCAACAGGCTATCTCCTTCTTGATAGGCCTTTTTTTTTTTAAATAAGAATTACTTTGCTCTCTTTTATCTTTAAATCTAGAAATACACAATTTTAATTTCACAGTCTACCCTATAAAAAAGCTCTAAACTTTTTGGTGGCAGAAACTGTACTCTTCATGCTGACATATTGAGTGGTACATTACCATATTGTTTTATACATAGTGGCATATACATAGATTTGATTAAATTAGCGAGGGAAAATATTATGGAATATATTGTGTAAACAATAGGATGGAAAATATGGGAAGGGGTTCAGTAAACAATTAGCCCTCTGTAAATGTGACTTGTTATAATTTTTCTCGGAATGAATCATAAACAGCAGATGGAAATTGATTACCACAAATGAATCCTCTGCCATAATTAACAAAGTCAGAACCTGGAGCATGGGTAGATCTCTAACCACGAGCAACCAGGCTTGTGCAGAATCACTCCAAATAACTGACAGTGACAAACAGGTGTATTAGAGTGGTAATTATCCATGCATTGGAGATTGGATCCCAGCTAGGACTCTAGTACCCTGACCAACTCCCTCTGCCCTCCCCTCCCAGGAACATAAAATAAACTCTGATTTCCTAGGAGATAAAACCTAAAGCTAGCCCAGGTCCTAGAAATGAGAGTCCTATGGTATGTTGAGGAAAGGACAATTTATCCCATTTAACTATTACCAGAGTAAAACCCTCCATCCTTTTCCTTTTCCTTTTATTTTACTTAGTTTGTTCGAGTTTTAGAATTGAAGTGAACTGAGGAACAGCTTTTCTGCCACTCACGGTCTGGCAGTGGATGGCTTTGGTCTGCTGTTCCCATAGTATGACCCACCCCTGGCTGCACTCACGGTCTGGCAGTGGATGCCTTCAATCCGCTGTTCCCATAGTATGACCCACCGTTGGCTTCAGTTGATAATTCATGGTCTGGCAGTGGATGCCTTCAGTCCGCTGTTCCCGTAGTATGACCCAGCCTTGGCTGCAGTTGATAACTCACGGTCTGGCAGTGGATGCCTTCAGTCCGCTGTTCCCATAGTATGACCCACCCTTGGCTACAGTTGATAACTTATGGTCTGGCAGTGGATGCCTTCAGTCCGCTGTTCCCGTAGTATGACCCAGCCTTGGCTGCAGTTGATAACTCACGGTCTGGCAGTGGATGCCTTCGGTCCGCTCTTCCCGTAGTATGACCCAGCCTTGGCTGCAGTTGATAACTCACGGTCTGGCAGTGGATGCCTTCAGTCCGCTGTTCCTGTAGTATGACCCAGCCTTGGCTGCAGTTGATAACTCACGGTCTGGCAGTGGATGCCTTCGGTCCGCTGTTCCCGTAGTATGACCCAGCCTTGGCTGCAGTTGATAACTCACGGTCTGGCAGTGGATGCCTTTGGTCTGCTGTTCCCATAGTATGACCCACCCTTGGCTGCAGGTGATTAGTCATGGAGTGGGTAGCTAGGGAGACAGTGTTTACCCTGGTTAGGTCACAGAATGCATGAGGTGTTTCCGACACCAATTGTTTTCCACCGTGTGTAAAGGAAATCAGAAAAGAGCCAGTCAGTGAAAGAGATAAACAACACCCGTGTGCAGGGGTGAAAGGCGGGCAGGTTGAACTTCCTGGGAAACCTGAGGGCTCCAGCTTCCTCGCCTCCCTTCAGCACTTTAATACAACTTTGTTGCCCTAAAATATACTCTTCTTTCCCTCAAGCTTGCATGAGTTAAGTTTCTTGTGACGTTCAACCAAAAACTTCTGAAATGTTTAAAGATATTGAAATGACACATTTTCATAGCTGACAGTCCTTTCTGTATAGTTAAGATATTGTTCAGTGGATTATAGTAATGTAGGTAGAGATTATTCTGCCCCAATACTCAACATTTAATATATTTTTTAAACACTCTCTTTCAACATATTCAGAGAGAACATGTAGGATTCATGAACTGGATGGGAAAATACAGTTGCTGTCTAGCAGAAAACTACTCAGAATTTCAAGGATATGAAAACAGTGGTTCCAGGTACATGCAGATTTTTCAACCACTTCGATACTGAGATGAAAGACAGTGTTGTATTGGTTGAAAATATAACTAGCAGTTTGCAGGAGAGCATGCTAGTGAAATAGCAGTGAACATTGCCAGCAGTTTCCAGCTGTTCACTGTGAATTCTTGTCTTCTGTCCCAGTTACTGCAGGTAACATCCTCCTCACTCCTCTCCTTCCGCTTTCAGGAGCAGCATCTACCATCACAGACATTCAAGAGTTTGTTGTTTTATGTTAGGAAGGAAGACCCAACCCAACAGACAGCACATGTTCCTCTTGTACAAAATGCAGCCTTGGGATAATTTTCATAATTAAGATTTTCCCTTGCATTTGAATGCAGGTAAACACCTTTATATGAACTTTATATTACTTCCCTTTCACCTGTGGCCTCCTTGGACCACATGTATTCATGTCTTTATTTCCATTCGATTACAAGTTATTTGTGGGATAACGCAACTGGGACAGATCTCAGGAATGAAGGACTGCGTTGCGTGGGAAGCCTGCATGATGAGTTCTCGATGTTCAGACTCCTACGCTGGAGCACTCCGTCCTTGACAGAGACTGGCTGGTTGCTCAGCAAACTGTGGCTTGTCCTGGGCAGACACAGTCCAACTGCATTCCCAGCCTTCCTTTCTGCGGGGTGTCTCCATGCGGTGCAGTTCTTGACTGTAGAATGAGGGAGGAAGTGACCCATGCCATTCCCAGTGGGGCACATTAACAACAAAATAAAACAAAAAATAAACAAAAATCTCACACTCCTAAAGCCCTTCTCTTCCCCTGTCTCTATAATAGGCATTTATTCCCAGAGGGATTTTTGTAGCCATGGTGGCAAATTGCACACCTCCAACAGCTTAGACCCCTGAATTACTGCCTGGAATAGACCCTTCCCCACTTCCCCAATCCTGGTGATGCTAATTTAATTTTACGGGTGGGAGAAATAAACTTCCAATCCTTAGAGTCACTGAGCTTCCAAGGTTGATCTGTTACAGCCATTATCTTCACCAACACACGTCAAAATACGTTAACGTGCTGGTAAACCTCAGCCTTTGGTGACACACACAGTTACGGAAGGGTTCTTGAATACCTATCCTGTGTCAAGCACTTCACAGAATAGGATATGACACCCACCTTGTAGAGCTCAAAATTTATTACACTGAGCTCAGTAAAAATGATCATATTTTCTTCTGGCTAATATATCTTGGGTCTAATATTTTCTTTGGCAATAGCGATATTCTTTGTTATTATCAAATACATCATAAATGGATTTATTCTTCTAAGTAAGGGCTTTATGGGGAACTTTCATATTCCTGGAGTGGGCTTTTTTTTTTTTTTTAGAATTCTGGAAATTATTCTAGCAATCCAAGTCATACTTCCATATCTAAATTTATTTTAAGCAACCATAATTACAACTAAGTATACTGATGCTTTATTATGGCTGCCCCAGGATTTGCAGTTCTCTGCTAAACTGCTTACATCTGTTTATGTCTTTGCCACTGTAAATCAATCCAAACAAACTCTATTCTGCTAATCCCCCCATCTGCCAACTCACATTCACTGTTTACCAATAGGAAAGACTCCCTATCATTCTAATGATAAGTGAATGAGCCACTTTGTTTCTTTTCTTGGGCAGCAAGAAGCCCTTCACCAGGCTTGCTAGATTCTATTTAGCAAATGAATGTTGGGAGAAGGATTTCGCAGACTGGCAGGACTCTAGATTCTGCCACAGAACAAATTTAATCAGGATTCTTTGTTCTACCCTTTTGTTTTCCTCATCTGTGCAAGGAGTTCAATATTAAAACTTCTTAATTGAGTGACTAGGGCCAAATCAATCAGGTTCTCACTCTGTTTTGCCTTCCCCAGCAGTGGTTGACGCCAGAGGAACAGAGTCAAATCTTAGCTTGTACCACACAGAGAACTGGTAGAAAGCAAAAGCAAAAAGCAGTGAGAGATTCATTTGAGAAGAATATTGGCTTATATATACATATAATATATATAATGTATATATATGTATGTATACATGTATGTATATCTACAAGGACAAATTGATTAAGGAGACAAGGACGTTTGGGTCATTCTGTAAGATGCAGAGGTCCTCAGCTGCCCAGATCAAACCTGTCTTCAGGTCCATGAGCACATGTCAGGCACGTAGCACTAACACCCAAAGCTGAGCAATGGCAAGGAGGGGAAGGAGTACCAGTGCCGCCAAATACAGGGTGGAGACAGGGATAAGTCCTTTGATCTCACATGTCCAAGGCGTAATAGAAGGTACTTAAATTCTGGAAAGTCACTCACCTCCTTTTGCTTAGCCCAGGAGGAGATGTGAGCCTGAGCTGAATTTAGATATAGTCTTTAATACGTCCTTTGCCTGCTCTGTTTCCTCAGTGTCTACAGGAAAACGTAGGTCAAATATCAATGCAAAGTAACAGCAACATTTAGTTGGAGCAAAGTTCACAGAAATAGGAACATTTTTGAAGCTGCAACTTTTTACATTACTTTTCAACTTGCAATAATTCTATTTAATAATTTTCATGTTATAAAGTAACCCCAACCTTTTGATTGATACATGGTTTTAGATATCTTCTGTTACCTATTTGAAATGACGCAGAGGAATTTTGTATATAAATATATATATATACACATATACACATATATATACACATACACACACATATATACACATACGTATATGTATATACATATATACATATATATACATACACACACACACACACACACACACACACACACACACATATATATATATATATATATATATATATATATATATATATATGAGATGAACAGTTAAGTTGGCGGACTTTGAGTAAAGCTAATTGCCCTCTAAAATCTGGATGGGTCTCATCCAGTCAGCTGAAGCCCTTGATAGAAAGAGGGCCAACTGCTGCCTTGTGAAGAAGGCAGCTTGCTTCCCTTTCGCCTTCCACCATGATTGTAAGTTTCCTGAGGCCTCCCCAGACATGCTGAACTGTGAGTCAATTAAACCTCTTTCCTTTATAAATTACCCAGTCTCAGGTGGTTATTTATAGCAGTATGAAAACAGACTAATACACACACAAACACACACACACACACACACACACACAGACACACACACACACATGCATCTTATGGTTTGGTTTCTCTGGAGAACCATGACTAATACAGTCAGTTGTGATATCTTCCTTAGCCAAAGAAACATGGTACAGCTGGTTTCCTCCGACGTTTGGGCTGAAGGCACCAAAGTCTAACACTGCCAATTGTGTCTTCACTGAGACAGGCTTCTATTTCTTTAATCTGAGGATAACATTAAGCTTTCTTTACTCCGCAGTTGCATAAATTCATTATATTTAAGGACTCTTCTATCTTGTAAAATAATGTATATTGTAGAAAAGTTTACAAAAGTTACATAAGGAACTCCAACCCTTCATTAAACTCTAAAGTGCACAGAAATCCACAAAGAATGCCCTGGCAAATAAAGTGCTCTCATGCTTTCATTTTCAGGGAGATAACCACCTGACTTCATTTAATCCAATATCCATTTTCTACCTTCTGTGTTTTTTTCCTGTGAGCATGTGTATATTTACAAGTTGTATGCATACAAATCGTAAATATAATACCATACACTTTGTGTGTCAGTAACAAGGCCACCTTGAATATAAGGTAATTGCCCACTTCCCGATGGATATATCTAAACGCATAACTGACAATTTGAATATCTAAACATTTAAGAACATAGTAGAAATAGTCAGTGTCTACGTGTATTATTTAATATTTAATTTAATCACACACATAATTTAAGTCACATTATATAAAATGAACTTAATTTATAAATATTAAATTTTTTCACTCTTAGGCTTCATGAAGCAGTTTTACTCAAAATTTCCACACACATTTCTGACATTTGTGCAGTCCTTACCTTGACAGCTAGTTTTTGAGTCTCTCAACACTGTCTTCAAGAATACATCTCTTCACTGCCTCTTAATTGTTCAAAATATAACACCTTTAGAATGCATCAGATGCTGTTGCTGGAAATTTTATCTGAGGTCCAGAGGACCCATTTGCATAACATTAGGATCTGTTCTTTTTTTTTTTTTTTCTCCTCCCCTGTTGATTACACTCAGGGTCTCGTGACCTCTGCAATGCAGCCAGTCTCATTCTGCCTTTAAAGGAGGTCTTTAAAATGCTTTCTACAGTGGCATTAAATACCTTTTATCTTGTAGTCATACAACCAAGAATATTTGCCAGATCTATGTTACTGTTTCTGCCTATTATTTTGTGTTTTGGGGATCTAACTTCAAAAGCATCTACAATTACATTCCTCACAATAATGCATCCTCCCCAAGTGGTGCTTCAGAATAAGAATGTGGTTGACAGAGCCATGTGCAGATGAGAAATGTTTTAATGGAATCAAAAGGCTACCCTCTGAAAAGTAACTCAGGGCCGTCATAGACAGCTGATATTTGGGCACAAACAGGTTTATTTATTAACCTATGTTTTACTTAATATATTTCAAGTAACTTTATGTTTTATTAAGTACTTAATTTATTTATTTATTTTGAGACAAGATCTTGTTCTGTCACCCAGGCTGGAGTGCAGTGGTACAATCTTGGCTCACTTCAGTCTCTGCCTCCCAGGTTCAAGCTATTCTTATGGCTCAGCCTCCCTAATAGCTGGGACCATAGGCTCACGCCAGCACACCTGGCTAATTTTTGTATTTTTAGTAGAGACAGGCTTTCACCATGTTGGCCAGGATGGTCTTGAACTCCTGGCCTCAAGTGATCCACCCTCCTGGACCTCCCAAAGTGCTGGGATTACAGGTGTGAGCCACCGCATCCGGTTTGATTAAGTACTTTCTACAGCAGAATTCTTAAATGACCGAGTAGTATTCTGTTGTGTAGAGATGGCAAATTTTCTTTAAGCAGCCCCCTTATTGTTTGGCCTTTGTTTTACTTTCTGAGAATTGCCTACTAGAAAAACACAGGGACAAACCCCTTATGATTATACCCTTGGGTGCTCTGTTATTTTCTTTTCTGGCATAAATTCCTAGCTATGCAAATGATCTACATTTTCCCTAGGCTTTGATGTATATTTCCAAAAACACCAGTGAGTGAGTTTATATTTATTTCAGCAGTAGGTAGAAGACGTGCTACTTCTTCAGAATCACACAAGGCATAATTCTTTTTCATCATTTTCAAATTGGTGGGATATTAACGTCTCTGTACTTTTCATTCACATTCAATTATTACATAGTGATGTTGACTTTTTCCACAAATTTACTGGTCCTGTAATTTCTGTCCCTTTTGTTTGAGGCCCCTCATGTCGTTTGTTAACTAGGGAAAAATCCAAGGGGCATCTTATTCAGAACCCACCCCTGGACACCTTGAGTCTGGTTCCTCGTCTTGATTAGAGGCCGATGTACGGTATTTGTATGTTCTGTGGGCTGACCAGGAGGCTCTTCTGTGCTAGAAAGGCTGGGCTGATCTCTGAAGGGTCTGCCTGTAGGCTTGAGGTCAGCCGGTGAGCTCTCCCAGGGCTGGCTGACCGAGGACATGCTCATGCATGTGATTAGCAGGCTGTTGGCCAGAGTGGAAGGGGAGCTGGGCCACAAGCCTTCCAGGATCCAGCAGGCTGACCTGAGCTTCTTCACATGGTGGTGACAGCAAGAAGACGGGCCCCACGGTGCCAGCACAAGCCACAGAGTCAGGTGCTGGGCGTCTCCCAAGGCGCTGGATGTAGGAGGTGTGAGCACATTTTCAACACTCTCCAGGGGTCCTGCTCTTGTGGATAAATGTGTGATGTCTGGAGCTAATCGAGGTTCAACCTCTAGCCCCGAAGCTTATGAAATGTGCAATGATAGACAAGGTACTTAAACCCACTGAACCTGTCTTCCTATCTCCAGAGCTGGCCCCATCATATCAGCAATCCTGCAGCAGTGAGGGTTAAGGCACTAACACACATAAAGCAGTTAACACAGAATCTGCCCCTTGATAAGGGCTCAAAATATTTCAGTTGCTGTTACTGAGTCAAACTCTTAGGTTTTAATTTTTCTTTCTTTGCAATGAATTATTTCTAGTTCCTTATGGACATATACCCCTGGTGTCCCCAACCCCATCCCCGCAAATGCTGGCATGTGTAAACATGTCTGAACCCAAAGATGAGAACAGGTTAGACTCAAAATGGGTTCGCAGCTGCAGAGTTAAGGACTGAATTACTTATCCTTCTGAAGTGGTGATTTTCCTCCCTCTGGCTCAGTGAGGAATTGAGAATGCAGCAGTATCCATCATGCGACCTAGTTAGCAAACAGTAATGTGCCAGCTTCACCATGGGGACATTACTCAGATCCTCTTCATTGTAAAAATGACTGAGATAATTCTTCAGCAGCACAATCTTTCATTAATAAGTTACAAGAGGCAATGTGTGTGCAATTTGTTATTATGCGTTTAGCCTTTGTTTTGAGAACTTCGCTTGCCAAAATATTATTTCTCACACGATTTTATAAAGACATTCTTAAGTTTCAGCATTCTCTCCTATCTTCCCTCTACTTAATAATCTGGCACAAATGCAGTAGCTTAATGAAGACTTTTCTTCTTCCTTCCTGTCTTGCTCTTATGGTTTATTTTCTACGCAACAACCAGAGCTTTTGGTCTTTCAAAAACAAAACTTAGATTGCATGCTGCTGAATACCTGCCTGTTTCCTCGAGCTCCAAAGTTACCCTCCTGTATGTGGCAGAAGTGTAAATTTTGCAAACGAGATTTCTTCGATGCCTTTCTGCGGGGTTCGGTCAGTGCAGGAGAGTAGGTAGAAGAAGGAGGTTATTCTTTCCTGTTTTCCTGTTCTGTAGCATGGTCCTGGGAACAGCTGTTGGTTCCAACAGTAGCCCCTCTTCAGAATCCAGTTTCCTTTTAACTTCTGGAATCTGACTCAGTGTGGAAGTCTAAGATACCCACAGAGGTCCAAGAAGCAGTTGCCGCAGTGTTTCAACTCAGACACCTGAGCACCAACCTCCCAGGACCCTTGTCCATGTTCCTGAGGAAAGAGCGGTTCACATCCTCCCTCCCAGGGTGAGCACCGAGTCTGTGGGAGCTCCTCCTCAGAGCTCTCAGGTTTTATTAATTACCACTTTCCCCCAAGCCATGAAGATTGCAGCTATTTCCTGCAGTTATTACTTTGGGATGTCTGCATGATCTCCTTTTGGCAGTCTTTTAATTTTCTAACATGTCTGAAAACAATTCCCTGTATTAACCCTCTCTGTTTGAAATACCTGATGTACTCTCTGTTTTCCTGATTGATACAGTCATGGGAGATTTCCTTGGACAGGAAACAAAATTAAAAGGCAGGATTCTGAGATCACTTTGGTTATGTTCTAGGTCTTCTTCTTTTCCTTTTTTTTTTTTTTCCTTTGTGTTTTTTTTTTTTTTTTGATAGAGTCTCATCCTGTCACCCAGGCTGGAATGCAGTGGCGTGATCTTGGCTCACTGCAACCTTTGCCTCCCAGGTTCAAGCTATTCTCCTGCCTCAGCCTCCTAAGTAGCTGAGACCACAGGAATTTGCCACCACGTCTGGTTAATTTTTGTATTTTTAGAAGAGATAAGGTTCACCATGTTGGCCAGGCTGGTCTCGAACTCCTGGCCTCAAGTGATCCACCTGTCTTGGCCTCCCAAAGTGCTGTGCTTACAGGTGTGCGCCACTGCACCAGGTCAAATGTCCTTGGTCTTTAATGTGGTTCCTGGCTTCTTGCTGCTGGAAATGCAACTCATGTATCCCATAGTGTGAAGTAACATCGCGTTGACCCACACCTGTGGCTGCTCGGGATGAGATATCACTTTTTACCTGCTGTGTGATCACTGAGACCCACAGACTTGAATCAAAATTCCATTTGTCTTTGATCCCCATTATCCCCTAATTTGACCTTGGGTCACCAGGAACTAACATCAACTTGTTTCAAGCATTTACTAATCCCCCCAAAACTGAGGAGTTTCTCTTTCTCCAATGTACAAATACCCTAGTTCCTGGAGGTAGGTTTATTTGGAGAAGACTTAAAGAAGACCTAGAGTATATATACATGACATTGTTCCGGGGTCCCAAAGTCAAACTGTGGAACTATGGTGATTAAGTATCATTTGGAAATTTGGCCCCAGCCTATGCCACAGGGATCTAAGCAGCGCTGCAGACCGTCCATGTGTAGTTTCCATAGAAGGTGGCTAATTACAATGCACGTACTTGGCAGCCAGGAGAATTCTCCTATTGGCCCCCTTATCTTTGGAGTGAAGGCAATTATATAGCAAAATTAAGTGGAACCTGATTAAACGTCTTTCTACCAGGACAGTAAACCAAAGAAATACTGCATCTTTACAGGAATTGCAGATTAGTGCCACATTCAGAGATTTCAGAGATGCAGGGATGGGGCATCTCCATTTAATTTGCTGAATATGTCACTGTAGAAGGTTGTTAAGTATTAGAGAATAACCACCATCATAAGCTAAAGCAAGGGTTACTTCTGTGTCATTGCAGTTGCTGCCTCATATGTCTTTACTTTAATGCCAGTAAGCACAGCCCCTGGTACCTAGCTTAGAGTCATCCGTATGGCAAAAACCATTTTTTTTTTTTTTTTGCCTCCAGACTAATGTGCAAGAACTACCAGAAAATATTCCTCCACTTAGAGGAGAAAAGAGTGCTCCTTTATTGTTCTGCTTAGAACAGTACCAATTCTTCCGTTCTATATCACAATATAGGCTAAGGGTTAACCAGCTTTTCTTAAAGGACCAGATTATATGTATTTCAGGCTTACAGTCCACACAATCTCTGGCTCAACTAGTCAACTCTGTAACAGCTGAAAAGTAAACATACAGAACGAATGGGATTGGCTACTTTCTAATAAAACTTTATATACAAAATCAAGCAGGCTGACTGCAGGGCATAACTGGCAGACTCCCAGTCTACAACAGAGAAATGTGGTGAGCTTAACATCCCACTGGACATCACTCTAATCCTGTACATTGAAGATCTCAAAAGTGATTCGACCTGATAAGTAGTTATTAGCAAATTATCTTAGAGAGCTCAGGAGGAATCCTCATCACAAGAGTGGAAGATCAGTCTGCAAAAATTTAGTGACTGGTTACTTGATACAAGTAATGGAAATCCAGTGGCTGGGAGTATGTTTTAGCACAAGACCTTCAATGTGAATAATACTTTGTTGCACTTTCTGTGAATTTTGTTAACAATACACACCCCATTTGAGTGGCAGCTAGTAATGAATGAAGGCTGCCAGTTTTAATAAGGTCCAGAGAAAGAAATTATCTTGTATATATCCTCTGGCAAAACTCAATAGGAAAAATAATACAGATCCTAAGGATTTTTTTAAGCCTGCTTTGTTTGAGATCATCACACGATCTCTATGCAAAGATAGTATTCTCTGGGAGAAAAAGAGCTAATTTTGCTGGCCAGGGGAACTTAAGGAAATTTGGAAGTTTAAAATTCTGTTTTTTTCTATTCAAATGTCCCATTCAATATGTCAGTGTTTCATACTTTTTTCATCATTTTTCAGCATTGACAAGGTAAACTTATTGCATGTATGCATTTAGTGTCCTTTCAGCTCTGCTACTCTTGGAATCAGATCATTGGCCTCATTTTCAACATGGGCTGATGCATTCACAAGATATATATACGTCTCCTTTAAACCTTCTGTAATGGCCATCTGGCTTTTTGGAATTTGCTTGAATTTGGTATTTTTGTGGCATGAACTTATTTCATTTTTCAAATTCTCTAGTATGATCAAGCACACTGAAAAAGTTTACTTTATAATTACCATTCTTCTTAAGTCAGTTAAGACCCCTTTTATTTCATCTCCCACCTGAACTTCTTGCTAATTAACCACAGGTGACCATCTTGTGAAATTTTTATGCCATAAAATGGCAAAGCTTATTAACATCTCATTTATAACCAGCAGTGGGTTCTTAATGCTCTCCAAATGGTCCTGCTTTGTGGAATCTCTTCCAACTCTAATTGTCTTTAATAGAGTTATCTTTAAAAAGACAGACTAGTGCATTTATTAAGTACTGATGCATTATTAGACAATTGTCAATTCTAGGCAGCAAGAATGAAGAACAAGTTTTGCAAAAAAAAAAAAGTAATGGAAATCAATACATTACTGTACTCACTACTGCTTATAAATATGTCACAGGAGACACAAAAGATTGGTCATCAAGGAAAATCCATTTCTCTGCACACACTCATGAGAGGAAAGGAAGGAGTCATGTATCTGCCTGATCCTCTCCTGTCCTTTGTTTCATATTGGTTCAAATTTGCTCCACCATAACTCTGAACCTCTAGGTTGTTTCTGGCTCTTTTGGATATAATATCCCACGTTTTACATGGAAAGTTTTATTGACATCTATTAATAGATGTGCTAAAAGGAGTCAGAAACTTCAGTACTATCCAGCTATGTGAGGGTGAGTAACTTGTTGGCCACCAGCCATGAAAGCAAGTTACTGAATGCAGGTTGACCAAGAATATCGTTGATAAGGATAAGATTTATGTTTGACACACTCACTATCCAGAAAAAAAATTATGGGAGTTGTTTTGTGTAACTCTAGTGTCATTACATGCTATTTCAATATTTTACATATTGACATATTGATTTTATGGTTTTTTTCGATCATAGATACTTATTAATTTAAAAGTATTTGTCAAGCATTATTCTAGTTATTGGAGAAAAAAATATGATTCAAGGATTGTAGTTGACCTCCATTGACACAAAGCCAAGAGGTAAATATATAAAAATATTATCTGGATGCTAAGTATTATTTTTCTACTTACAAATTATTTGATGCATACAAGACTGCCATGTTTTGGTTGGTTTTGTTAGAGGAGTTATGATATAACAAATACTGTCTATTGACAGCACTATATAAACTGTGGAATTTGCTGCATGGAAATAGTGAATATAACATAATCTATCAAATTTCAACATTAACATTGTTATTAGAATAATGGAGTATCTTCAATATCTTGACTATCTTAAATATCTTCACCCATTTTTTTCTGCTTAAAGTTTGCTATCAAAAAATCAAATATAGGTATGACTTAGTTTCCTCCTAAATGAGTTGGATTTTTTTTTTTCTGGTCTGGATGCCCAAAGTATACTGTGTTTGCTTTATTTTTATTCGCGTACAGCAATTCTCTCAGGGTCAACTTTCTCAGTTTCATTAAATAAAGTGTTAATTTGGTGGTTCAAAGTTATTTTTTCAATGTAATGTTTTGAAGGGTAGTATTTATCATTTATGCCGTTTCATTATTTTAATTCTTCTGTGGGGTCTGCTATTATACTGATACTCAAACGTCTTTGCTTGTCTTCTACGTCTAACATTTTCTCTTTTAAAGTTTTTATCTATTTTTACAGTTCTGCTTGATTTCCTTATTTTCTCCTTTCTGTTTTTTCCTCCCTGCAGTATTTCTCAGGTGTTTCACAGCTCTTGTGTTTCTTCTAGCTTACATATAATTGCTGAATTTTATTTTTAAATTTCTGATTCTGATAATCTGTCAACACTCTTTTCATGTCTTCTGGTTGCTTTATCATATTATATCTGAGCTTTTCTAATTCTTTTTTTCTGTAATGCTTGTCCTTTTACTGGTTATTTTCTCTTTCTTTTAAAATATATTTTAGCTTATTTTAAATATTGGATTTCAGTTTTTCTCTACATCATGGAAATATACCTCAGGTCGTCTTCACTTTTGTATGTAATTTTTTTTTGGAAAAATTACTTCCTTTTAAAATTTTCTTATAACGTCAATGTAATGGGTTTTATTTGTGCTTGTTCACTCTTGCTCACATATAAGTAAGACGTGTTTTCTATATTTTCGAGAAGATGGTGTGGGAGCTGTGTTGGGCAGATGTCTTTTCTAGTTTTGCAGTTCTGTGGCTCTCTATTCTGTTATTATCATGGTATATTCCAATAAATTGCCCCCTAGTTTATCCACCTCTTGAGTATTTTCTGATGTCTGCCTCTCTTGATCCTCTTCCCTATTAATGGCTGTACCTCTGCTTTTATCCCCAACAACCCTGCCCTTGCCAATTTTTGACTTATTCCTTGTAGTTTTCTTGGGTGCTGCTATTTTGGAAGGGCTGTAAGGATTCTGACCACCGCTGGCATGTCACCCAGCACTCTCCACAATGTCCCTGTACCTGCATGATTAGAGCCTTGAAGCCCCCTTTTCCTCCTCACAGTTCCCTTTAGACCCACCACCCAAGCCTTCCTCTTGGAGAAGAGACCCGTCTTGGGAGTATGAGCATCTGTTGGTAGTATTTGAATGTTCCAGCTCAGAAGAAAATAACTTCTTTTTTACTCTCCCCTTACTTGGGCACAGCGACTATTTATTCCCAAGTGGTGCTTACTGCTTTAGAAGGTTCAGCAATCCTAATTTTTTTACGGGGTTTTAGGGAATGCTTTTTCGCCTGTTTATTGCAGGAATTGTCTACGTATGCATTTTTTTTTGTGTACAGTACTTTGACATTGTAATTCCTCTCTTGTTTTATGATAGATTCTGTAGAGTTCCAAACACTTTTTAGTATGATTGCTGCTCTCATCTTCCCTTTAATAATGTATGTTTAAATCTATCACCTGATATAGAATTTCTAGATTTTTAATTGTTTAAATATATTTTAACATAGTATTGTCCAAAATGGCTCTAATAATTACATTTCCACTAACAATCATAAGAAAAAATGTTTCTTTGCATCTTTAAAGATTGTAAAAGTATTACAATCTTTTGTAAAAGTATTACAAAATTAAAAAAATATTGAAGCTTTCTATTTTGGACAATTTATTAGATACAAGGAAATATGTAATGTTTTTCCTGACCTTTCCTGAGTATGAGTCAGTATTTGTACACTTTGCATCTATTTTAAATTTTAAATTATCCGAGTGCTCATCGCTAGACTGCTCATTCTTGTTATTTGTCCACTTGCTCATTGATCCTTGACAATCTGTAAGAGCTGCTGTTTGTCTTTTATAAATTATATATTACAACAAGCTCCCGTGTTGCAATTTCCCCACTAAGTATATTTTTCCTATTTATTTAGAGGTTTTTGTTTGCTACTTTAAAACATATTGTATATTTCATGTCTCTATTTTCTTTAGCAGCTTCTGTGTTTCTGTTCTTGGATTAAAACACCAGTCTAACTCCTGGAAAGTTCACGTAGTCACCTAGATTTTCTTCCAGTTATTCTCTTACTTTATTGCTTTTCCTCTTCCATCTTTAGCATACTTCTATATTTAGTGAAATTTACTTTGTTATAAAGCGCAAGAGAGAGATCCAATATAATCATATTCTAAATAGACACCAAATTGTTTTGATTTGTATTGGGAAGAATTGGCATCCTTGAATATAATATTTTATTATCCATAAAGCTATGTCTCTTTTGTTATTTAGGTCTTTAACTATTTTGTCCTTCTAATAATCTTTTACAGGTGTTTTTTTTGCATGAAGTTTATGAAATTTTTGTTACATTTATTTCTTGCCACTGATTATGTGTACTTCTTTTCTAAAAGCATTCTTTTCAAAATTTCTAATTTTGCTCATTGATGGGTTTAGAAAACCAATTCACATTTGTACCTTGATCTATGTCATGTAACATTGATAAGGGCTCCTTATAATTTCTAATAACTTGTCTGTAAATTCTCTGTAATTTACTATGTAAACTATAATATTTGCCAGAAATAAAAATATGGACTCACAAATGCCTATATATCTATATTTTATTTTTACTGCCTATTTCACTGAAGTAAAACGTGAAGTACAATATTGAATAAAGATAGTAAAAGTGTGTATCCTTTTCCAGTTCTTAATATTGAAAGAAATGATTCTCATATTAAAACATTAAGCATAATGTTTGATGTCATTCTTAGTAGATCATTTTTATTAGTGAAAGATATTATCTTCTTGGCTTATTTGATTCCATATTTAGAAATAAATGAGTGTTGCATCTCATGGAACTTTTGTGTATGTAATAAAACAATTATAATGTTTCTGTTCATTGATATATTAATATGGTAAATATTATTAATATATTTTATTTTTAAATAACATTCCTGGGATAAACTCAACTGATCCATGCTATATGAAAATAATACACAAAATATCTAGCATAGTTTAAGTATTATTTTTATAGGTATCGTTGGATGTGGTTTGTAATTTCATTTTAATATTGTGTATGTACATTCATTATTTAAGGTAGTGTCAAATTTTTATCATGTTTTGAATTGAAATATGAAGTCAACTGAGTGGTATTTACTCTTCTTATTTTTTTTCTGGAAGAGTTTACACTCCATTAGAATAATATGATACTTGAATAGTTTCACCTCAAAACTTCAGGATGTAGAAATGTTTTTGTTGTTATTTTGTTTTGTTTTATTTGGGGAAGATTGTGTTTTATTTAACACTGCAGAACTATACATTCAATTCTAATACTATATGTTTGTGCATTTTATCTTTTATTTCTTAGTGAGCCCCATGAGAGATTCATATATTTTGTGAGTCGTTCAAAGAAACAACTGACTTGCCATTTAAACGCTTTCTATTTACTCTTCATTAATTTTTCATTAATTTCTTCTCCCAGCAGTATTTTTTCTTTTACTTTCCTGAGTTTTATTTTCTGTTCTGAAATAACCTTCAAAGTAAAAAACTTCTAAAGTTTCAGCTTTTCTTTTATGCTGACCTTGAATTTAAGGTTCTGAATTTGCCATTGAATATCATTTCAGTTGCCTCCCATCTATTTTGAAAATCAATATTTTCCTTTTCATTTAGTCATAAGTACATTATAATTTAATTCATGAGCATTCATTTTCAATGAGCTTCTTTATAAAGGATATTTTAAATTTTTCATTCGTATGTTTTCTCTTAAATTTGTTTCTGACTGAAAGGTGATTAGAAAATGATCTGCATGGTGATTACTTGGAGACTCTTTTCTTAAGACATCAATATTAAGTGCTCCATTTGTATATGAGAATAATGTTCAGTCTCTAATTATTGGTAGAGGGATTCTAATACTTTTCACTAGTTCAAGCTTGATAATTGTATTTTAAATATATCTTCTACACTGTAACTGAATGCACCCTCTCTTTGGTCTATCAGTTAATGAGAGAAGCATGTGTGTGTCAGACTCCTCTAGATACCAGATTTTTTTTAAATAATTACATGTATAAACACCAGGTTTACTACCATGAATAAATACTTCTAAGTACCGCACATGAGAATTCTCTGTCTCATCTTTCACATTGTCTGCTGCTATATGTCTTTGTGAATCTTTAGCTGGGGCATTAAGTCGTTTGCTGTCTTTGGGCCAAACAAGTTTCCAAATTTTAATTTTGTAAGAATAGGTTTTTATTCTAGATTCAGATTATATCTATGTGTTCTCTTATTTTCAATTATTTGAGAAATACCTTTAAATACTGACATTTAGGTATTAAAAACATTGTGCTATACTGTGTAGAAAAAAATATATGGTTTACCACCGACACCTATGAAAAACTGCACCAAGCCTTAAAACCATATTAAAATCCTCATCTTGGCTGAAATTTAATAGTCATATAGTAATATGTTTAATCTTCGTGATATATTAGTAGGAAAAATTTTTGTGAGTACCAAATAACACTAAGTGAGGTATATTAAAATATATCAGGTTAGGTAAAGTTTTCGTCATTGTATTTCATAAATTACATCATTTACTATTTCTGGTGTGGCTTTTAGACTTATTTCAAGGAATAGAGAATGTTTATTTTCAGTTTTTATGTTGTTGTGTGTGTTAATATCAACAAATAATGCATTTGAGAATTTTTAAAATATTTTCCTGAGTAGTGTCCATTTTCCCACACTTTTTATTGACGGTGAACTCTAACCATATATTATGTTTCTCTACATATAATTTAATGTACAATTACGATTGTTTTTGGTATAAAAGCACTAAAAGTCTCTAATGCATTACATTATGTAGTTTAGATCTGTTCAAAAGATTAATATTTCATATGAGAAAGGGCAGTGACTCACCTCTGTTCTTCACATACTTGTGGGATATGCTGATAAATGCACACCCTCATTAGATATTCTAATCAAGTTTTGCATGTAGCGGCAACTTTCAAAGAAATAGCACTACAGGAGAACTAATGCAAACCTTACAGAATGTGAGTTAACCCTCCGCTAATCAGCCTGTAGGCATTTCAGGCCTTCTATTTATTTACCTGCATGTCTATTAATTTGCCTCTTTATCTATCTATCATCTGTCTTTTTGTGTTTTATATATGGAAAGGAAGAGAGACAAAAAGATAATATATTTCTTGAACTTAAAGAATCAATTCACTTCTCTATGTCTTGCACAGTTACACTTAGAAAAGTAAGACCTGTGCATAGTAAACACATAAAAATATTTATTGAATGAATGCCTCAAACTCCATTGAAAGCTGGAATAAAAGATTAACTAAAGTGTATTTTCTGAATATATCATACATTTCTCTCTGGAACTTGCTTTTATTAAAATAATTAAATTACCATAACAATTGACACTGATTGCACTGTGTGTCTGCAATGGAGAAATTGAAAATTTCTTTGCCTTCAGTGAAGGTGTGACGTTATCTTTGTAATAGCAAACTGAGATGAGCAAAGGTGGTGTTTGCCAGATGAGTGGTCTAGATTTTACAATGCAGGGCAGGAAAACTCGATGTCCACAGTGCAATCTGATGGGTGGTTTAGATTTTACAGTGCAGGGCAGGAAAGCTCGATGTCCACAGTGCAATATGATGGATGGTTTAGATTTTACAGTGCAGGATGGGTGGTTTAGATTTTACAGTGCCGGATGGGTGGTTTAGATTTTACAGTGGGGGGCAGGAAAGCTCGATGTCAACAGTGCAATCTGATGGGTGGTTTAGATTTTACAATGCAGGGCAGGAAAGCTCGATGTCCACAGTGCAATCTGATGAGTGGTTTATGTTTTACAGTGCAGGGCAGGAAAGCTTGATGTCTGCAGTGCAATCTGATGGATGGTTTAGATTTTACAGTGCAGGATGGGTGGTTTAGATTTTATAGTGCGGGGCAGGAAAGCTCGATGTCCACAGTGCAATCTGAGAATGCTTCATGCAGGCTTAAGACTTAGGCTGCTTCCTTACATCTTATTTAGCTTTTATGAGTTTTTTTCCAGGACTATGAGTTCTACAGAGTTTGTGATTTTACTTATCAGCCAGATATCAGGCAAGGTCTCCACACTCACCCACTGGAATTTGGGTATGATTGACATCAGTGGTTATATAAAATTGGAGAAAGTTCAAGATCTTCATTGAGAGTTGTGCATAGTCTCGTGATGAACTGTAATCAAATGGACACTTCTGATATCCAACTTATTTCTCTTGTGAATTATTATTTTATCTATTATCATTCCTTTGCTTTTAAATCTAATATAGAAGATAAAATTTAATTATGAAAAACACATAACTATTCCAAAAGGAGGTAGAAGAAAAGAAAAATAGATATAGGAAGAATTGAAAGCAATGTGTAAGATGGAAGATTTACATCAAGAAATATCAATAATTTCATTAATTTTAAAAGGTGAAAATATATCAATCCAAAGAAAAAGAACTTGTCTGTTTGAATAAAATATAACATCCAGTTATATACGGTCTCTATAAAAATCATATTACATTAAATATGTAGACATAGGTGAAATAAACACATGGAAAATGTTGCCTGGAAACACTAATTGAAAGAAATCTGGAGTAGCTATATTAATATGAGAAAAAGTAAATCAAATATATAATTACCAGTGGTAAAAAAGGATATTACATAAGGATAACAATGAAAGTTTACCAAGAAAATATAATAATTCTAAATTCAAATGCAGTAAACTATACAGCTGTAAAATAATTGGAGCAACAGCTAATATAACTAAATGTATGAAGATAAAAAATATAATTGTAATTGGAAATTGCAGCGAACATTCTCAGTAACTGATAAACAAATAGACCAATAATTGGTCTGAACAATTTTATTAGCCAACTTCATCTAAATGATACTTTCAGGACATTCACTGAACAAGAGCAGAATACACTTTTTTTTTTCCAATGTACTTTGAACTTGTACCAAGAGAGGAAAGAGAATATCATGCAATGTATGGTTCTGTCCAAAAAGAATAAAATTAGCAATCAGTTACAGGAAAATATCTGAAAAATCACCAAAACTTACAAATTAAACAGCATAAGATATGTTAAAAATATTTTAAATTGAATAAAAATTAAATACTAAATTTCAAAATTTGTAATATACAGCCGATGCCGGGCTTCTTAGAACATTTACAACATTAAATGCTTATATTTAAAAGAAGAGAGCCCTTGAGTAAATCATCTAAGCTTTAACATTGTTCACCTATGTATACGAAGCCCAGAAGAATAGAAATCAATAAAATAGAAATGAGAAAAGCAATAGAGAAATCAATGAAAACAAAAGTTAAGCAGTCTAATGGTTGGTGGGTGGGTGGTAGATGCAAATGACCGAGATAAACATCAAAGAGCCATCACCACCATCAACACAGACATTTAAAATAAGAGAATAGTATAAACACCCTGAAAAATTTTGTAAAGATACAAATTTCCAAAGCATATTCAAGAAGAAATACATAAGCCCAATTGTCCTATATTTATGAAGTAAATGCAGCTTTAGTTAAAAACCCTCCTTCACAAAAAACTCCAGTCCCAGACGGCTCCACGGGTGATTCCTTCAACAACCTAAGGAGAAAATTATTCTAATTCTGGAAACAGTCTTCCAGAAAACAGAAGAGGGACCATTTCCCAACTAATATTGTGAGACAAACATTACCCTGATATCAAAATCAGAAGAAAAGAAAAGAAAACTTCAGACTAAGTTCGCTTGTGAACGTATATGTAACAGTGTACTTAACACGATATTAGCAAATCAAATCCTGTGATAGATGAAATAGATATTCTATCATAAACAATTAGGAGTTTATCCCAGTTTGAGACAAGATTTATTTCAACATTCAAAAAGCAATTAATATTATTCACCATATTAACAAACTCAATATAATTATTGGGAGTGTGTACATATATATACACCCAGTCATATAAAAATATGTGGAAACTAGCTCAGTATGACAAAGTGAATCTACACAAAACCTATAGCAAATATCAGACCCAAGGAAGGACTGAGAGCTTTCAATCTGAGACTGGGAATCTCATGAAGGTCTGTTCTCACTACTTCTACTCAGTATTGTACTACATGTTCCTTCCAGTAAAATAAGAAAAATATAGATCAAAATTGTTTGAATTAGAAAGGAATACATCAAACAGAGTTTATTTAGAAATGGCATATTTTTCTTAATAAAGAAAATCCAAATGAATCTACAAAAGAAACTGCTTAAATTAACAAATGACTTTGGAAAAATTGCAGGATTAAAAATCCTACCACCATTCTATCTATACACTAGCAACACATATTTTGATATTGTAATTTAAAAAAAGTCACTCACAATATCATCAACAAACGTTAATTACTTAGAGAAATGTTTAAATAAATATGCACAAAGTCCATAGGCTAAAAATTACAAAACATTGATGAGAGGCATTAAATAGACATAAATAAATGAGAAATATACTTTGTTCATTGGATCTGAAGGCTCTCTACTTTTAATATGCCAGTTATCTTTAAGTTGATATATACTTCCTAGCATCTTAATAAAAAATTCAGTATGCATTTTGAGCAATTGACAAGCCAATTGTAAAATTTAAATGGAAAACTAAATCTTTTAAAATAGCCATAATAGCCTGATTTAAGATGTAATATAACGATGACACTACACTAACCAAGACAATGTGGTATCTGAGTTTGGACAGACGTAAATGGAACAGAATAGAAATTTCAAAAGAAAACTACTGCAGCTTTCAAAATATTTGTCAATGTTGCCAAGTGAATTTAATGGAGAAAGCATCGTCTTTGTAATAAATGACGCTGGCACACAGAAATACACAAAAGTGAAATGGAAAACTCTACTTCACACCTTATACAAAATTAACTCGAGCCAAATCATCTCATGGAATGTAAAGATCAAAAGCTTTTAAATTCTTTCAGACTGTACAGAAGAATATCTTTGTAATCTTGGATTAGGTAAATACTTTTTATAGGGGACACAAAAAATACAACTCATAAAAAAAAGTGACATAAACAAAAGTACCCATTTTTTGTTCTTAGACACCGTTATAGAAATAAAAAAAGGACTAGATTTTGATAAGCCATTTTTAAAACTCATCATCTAATAAAGTACTTACAAAATAATACTAATTCAGTAACAGAAAGGCAACAGGCCAACCCCCCAACACCAACAAATAGAGGGGAGGAGTTAAAAATTTGAAGAGAAATTTCACCAAAACAGAGTAGTAGGTGGCAAAAAAAATATATGAAAATATGCCCTACATCTTTATTTTATAGGGAAATGCAAATAAAACTGCAAATAAATTACCATTCCATGCAAGGAATGAAACAAAATATAACAAAACAAACATTAGCAACATCAAATGCTGGTATAGATGTTAAGCAACTGGAACTCTCATTTCTTACTGGTGAAGTATAGTGAAAGTGGCTTGAACACTTTGCAAACAGTTTGGCAGTTTTTAAAATAAAATTAGCAATCCTTTTCCCAGATATTTACCCACAGGCAATAAAAGCATTTTCCACAGAGACTTATAGGTCAATGTTTATACAATTTTATTAATAGTCAAATGTTGAGGGGGAAATCTGAAGTTCAAACTGTTAAATGGTTTTGTAAATTGTGGTACACCTATACAAGAGAAATTACTCGGCAATATGCAGAAATAGCCACTGAAATCGATTAATCTCAAAAGTATTAAGCTAAGTGGAGGAAGGAGACATTGAAAAGAGCGGACACATGCCACCTGGATCCTTTTGTGACATTCTCATAAAGCAAAAGTCTAGGGACAGTGATCATATCTGTGGTGTCCAGGACCTGGGGCTGCAGGGAGAATTAACTAGGGGGAATGAGAACTTTCTGGGGTGATGCAAATGTCGTGCATCTTAATTAAAATTGGCACTGATGCCTCTGACACATGTATGAAAACTTCTATAAATTTGCACCTACCAAAAGCATGTAAATAACATGTCAAAGAACCCAGCTTTGGAATAAGGGATATAAGGATATAGATGCCGAAATGTAAAATCATGCCTTGCCTTCCCAACCTTGAATAATTATTTATCTATAAGAAAAGTAAATGCGATATAATTTCTAAATTCTTCAGAGGATTATGAAATTATTTTTTATTCACTGCTGCAATGAATTATTTGGAATTTGATGAGCCACAATATTATTAAGTAAATTCTAGAAATTAATGTTGCACTGAGTATAGGTTCAAAATAATCTTTATTCTCACACATAAAGCCCTGATATACAGATCCACATATACATATTTTTTGCTATATACCTGCCAGAATTCTTATCTATAGTCTACATTGGCGTACTCATTATTACTGAACAATTTCTTTTTTTTTGAGACAGAGTCTTGCTATGTTGCCCAGGCTGGCGTGCAGTGGCGTGACCTCAGCTCACTGCAACCTCCACCTCCTGGGTTCAAGCAATTCTCCTGCCTCAGCCTCCCAAGTAGCTGGGATTACAGGCATGTGCCACCGCCCTAATTTTTGTATTTTTAGTAGAGATGGGGTTTCATCATGTCGGCCAGGCTGTTCTCGAACTCCTGACCTCAAGTGATCCGCCTGTCTTGGCCTCCCAAAGTGCGGGGATTTTTACAGCGCCTGGCCTGAACAGTGTTTTTATTTTCATGTTCTTCTTGTTCCACAACCTTGGAACTCAATCTTTAGAAATAAAAATAAAAACACAAACAGTTAAGATACATGCATAATTGGGCCTTTTTGTGTTTGTTGTACAGGGAGGTGAAATATGAGAAGCAAAGATAAATTAAACAAAGATGTCCTTAAGAAAGTTATCTAATCTAATTGGCAAATTCGGAAACCCAGGCACAAGTACAAGTTTCAAGAGCATATGAGCACAGTGCCATTCAAATGAAAGGAAAGAACAATTTTTTTTAAACCTGGCTGGCCAAAGGTGCGGACATTGTGAAAGGGAAGTGGTATGATTAGTTTGATGGGGAATGTGGGAAACAGGGACAAATAAGATTAGCAACTTGCTCATATGAAAGTAAAAGCATGATCAGTGACAGAGATGAAAATCAGAATGCAAATGGCACTTTAATAAATTCTGTTATATTTTTATTTTCTGTTCAGATGCAGAGAAAGAAATGTGAAAAAATAAGGAACATGAGATGTTCCCTTTTCTGGGAAGATTGAGGGGCAGTCACAGATAAAGCTATTCGCTTTATTGTACATTAAACTTCTAATTAAGGTCTTGGTGCCCAGAAGGGACAGACAGAAATGTGAGGCCTTCCAGCAGAGAAACAGCAATCCCAGGTGTATCAGTGTATTAAGCCCTTTAAGCTTCTCAGAGTCAAACAGCGTGAGCTGGTGTCTCCAAGGCTGCTTTGCAAGTCTCAGTATAAGCTGCTGGAATCACAGAGGGCGGTATTGCCCAGAGGCTTCTGAATTTGGAAAAAGAAGGACAGAAAAAATTTCCTAAAATATTTGCAGATATCATAGAGTTTGGGAGAGAATAATGCTACTTGTTTTGAACAGCAAATTATATATTTAAAGATAAAGTCACATTTTTGTACATTTTGTGTTTAACAAGAGTGAATTGTCATATGCTTTTTTGATTGGATCAGAGAAATCTTTTTTAAGTTTCTCGGTGTGCAGGTGAGAATTACAGAGGTTAATTGTTTTGCCTAAAGACATAAAAGTTTAATGGTGGAACTGGGAAGTATCTAATTGGGATATTTCCCAATTCTCAGTAAAATCTTCCCTGTACACCACAGCTGGATGTCGTGATGTTTAAGAACACAAAGGAAAGAGTGTTTGAGTAATTCACATCTCAGTCGAAGTCCTCTGAAGGCTTATCAGCAGGCGCTGCTCTGCAAGGGGACGGGAAACAGAGTCACCCCCTGGGGAGCATCGAGGAAAGCACAGTCACGTTACAGAAGCACAGGAAAAGTCAGCCCAAACACACCGTGTATCGTGACAGATGGCACCGTTAAGAGAGGAAGGAGCGTCCTTCCCGGGCTGGTCCCACTTCATCCACACGAACAGACATCCTCCTTACCCATTGGCAGAAGTGTATTTTCCTTTCCAGAGCTTTTCCACATCAGAAAGGAAAATATCCTTTGGAAATATGTCAGGATTACTATAATCTCTGCCTACAAGTGTCCTTGAAAAGTATTTCTCTGACTCTTGTTATGGACCGATTACCCAGAACACTGGTTTGAATGCGTGCATCCCTCCAAAGTTTACATGTTGGGACTTCAACCCCACGGGGATAGTGATAATAGATGCGGCTTTTTGGGAAGTGAGTAAATTCTGAGGGCTTCACCTTCCTGAATGGGATCAGTGCCCCATAAAAGAGGTTTCAGAAAGCTGCCTGGCCTCTTTGTTCCTAAGCCATGTGAGGACACCGAGATCCATGAGGAAGGGCCCCTCCCCAGACAATGAACCTGACAATGTCTTTATGTTGGAGTTCCAGCCCCAGGGCTGTGAGAAATACTTTTCTGGTTGTGTATACGTTACCCAGGCTCAGGTGTTCTGTTTTAGCAACACAAAATGGACTCAGGCAATCTCCTTGAGGGAGCTGCAGCACTCCTTTTGCTGTTTGAGGTAAGAATCTTTTTTCCGAGTGCTGGATATCCATCCCCAGCAGCTCCATCTGCACGTCCATGTGACTCTCCATCCCAGAAGATGGTCTATGTGTCTTCAAAGTTTGCCTAACCTCGCATTCTTTTCAGCCTCTGTGGAGCTCCTACAGACATCGGAGGCAGGGCTCCCTTCCAAGGACTGGCTTTTACCATTAAACAAAGGTCAAGAACGTTTAGGGCAAAAATAATAAAAACATGTAACTGAGTAATTGGTCCATAAACAAGAGTAGGAAATATCTATCTCAAGGACATTGGTAAGCCACCATTTTTTATGAAATGGGTATCTTTTAATGGCCCTGGAAAGAAGAGATCCCATTACCTGGAAACAGATCAGCTATTCCCAGTAAGCTCCTGCTGTTTTATGGGGCACTTTAAGTGACAGTGTGCAAACACAAGGGTGACACAGCCTGGCTCAGTGTACACTGGAGAATAGAACGGTCGCAGTGTTGAAAATCAGAGAACTGTGCCCACGTCAGCCCCTTTGAAAAAGTCAGTCAAAGAAACTCAACTTTGACCAAATAGGGGGAAATGCTCTCACATTAAAGGTGTCCTCATTTTTTTCCCCCTCCAGCCATATAATTACTCATTAGTGCTTTCCTCAAATCACAGCTTGCAAAAGAACTGGCTGAGCAGACCCAGAGGAAAATTGTAGCAGAATAGCAAATTGGGCAGGCAAATTCATTTCTTCTGCCATTTGATGGCATTTACAAGGAGAGTGCGGCAGAAGGCCAGCTTGCCTTCCCAGCCTCAGGTCAGAAGGCTCATCTGTGTGCTGGTACATTGGGCTCAGGTCAGGAGCTGCCTGGCAGGCTGTGTGTAATTAGTCAGAGCCATTTAAGAACGGAGCTACTGCAGTTTTCTCCATTCCAACTGTCTGAAGAGCATTTCTCCATTTTATTTCCAAGCTAACATTAGGCTTAGTGACAGCGAAGACAGAAAAAGACTCAATAAAAACAACAAGTCTGCCGATTCACGCAGGGAAAAGAGTGCATGGTCAGCAAGGGAGGCTCCTACTTTCTAAAAGGACTGTCAGCAGCCACAGCCCCCACAGCAGATGCTGCATGAACCTAACAGGCATCCAATTCTATTTTCTTTTGTTTTTAAGAATCTAGGACAAGCTCCGAGCTCTTCTCCCTGATTACAGAAGGCTTCTACCTTGTCATTTTCTGACCCACATTTTTTCTCTCTGCATCTTGATCCCCTGAATTTACTCTGTTTTGATCTTTCTTACCAATTAGTTAGAAAGTTAAGTGTTTAAACAAAGTCACATTTTCTATATAGGAAAATAGGATAAATGCTCACACATTAATCCATTTGATGAATATTTTACTAAGGAAAAAATGTCAATATTCAATAGTAACATGTTCCCCTCCGTAAGAAATATTATTATCATATTCTAGAACAACGGGCACCACACACTTCCTTAACCACTCAGCCAACTGGTATTGAGGTAGAAGTAAGGTTAGTCATTGCAAGTTAAGAAAATTTTAAAAATAGATGTGAGAGTCGTCTCTGAAAACGATGCCGGGTGATGGTGATGCTACAGTGAATATGATGTCTCTCATTTCATCACTAGTATCAGAGAAGAGACAATGCAGACAATTCTCAGGTAAAGATCACACAGTATCCTGGAGAACTGAGAACATAATCATCCTAATATGGCACCAGTCTCTTAGGTACATTTTCCTGAGTCTACAAAAGTGTGGATCAAACTGTCTCAATGCAGAAGTCTTAAACAGAGGTAAGGAAGTTATCTCACTGACACATTTCAGGAGCAAGAGTGCTGCATTTCAATATCGTATTTTATATCATCGAATTTTACCAAATGAGATTAATCCATTTGCATTTTCTTCTGCATGATGATAACAGGATGTATTTTCTGTGTCCCAGGAAATCCAAGTAGAGGCTTCAGAGCTGGAGTGTCTGGATTTGAACCCTGACTCTACTCTTAGACTGTTGACATGTTCCCTAATCTCTTTGAATTTCAGTAAAATACAGATGATACTTCTTGAGACCATTTTTTAAAAATGAATGAGTTATCCCAGGAAAAGAACTTACGCTTACAATTTCTGTGGATCAACTAATGCTCCATGGACCATGCACTTAGACTGCCATATACATTTTAGGGTTTGGGGAGTGATTTCCCACCCAACGAAAACTTAAAAGCTATTCCTTAAACACAAGAAAATATAACAAATACTTCTTCTATTGAAATAAGCTAATTATTTTCCAATGGAATAATGTTGACATTTTTTAAGTGGAAAACCATGGTTATAAATTTTAAAGAAAGTTGAAGAGCAAGAACATACATTAGCATCACACATAAATCACACCGAGGTCATTAACAGTGTCATTATAAATTAATCTTAACAACACACCTTGCCTTCACAAGTTCCTATAAGCGATTTTAAGTTCCACCCATTTATGACTTCAAAATAAATATCTGACTTTAAATAACATAACCCAGAAAACCGACAACTTAAAGTATTTATTTTTAAAGTGCAAGACGAAAACCTGTTATGTAACGATTGCAGAAGGAGTAAGAAAGGGTTGATATCTTTTTGCTTTAAAAGGATTAAAGGCAGTGCACAAACATTGGTGCCTGCAACCTTCCTGCAGGTGAGTGTCACCCCTGGAGCTCAACTAATCCGTGAGTCCAGTGCCTTCCTGCGGGTAAGGGCTGAGATGGTTGCAGCTACGCAGCACAGTTTAGGGTTCTGGAAACGTGAAAGGGGCAAGGACAAGCCTCCCGCCCAGAGGATATTATGGTCCTGAAAATGTGTCACTCTTTGCGATTTTCTTAGTTATAGGCAGCAACCTCCCTGCGGCCTGAAGAGATTATTGAGAAACTATTTCAAGGATCTCAGTGTTTACCTGAAGGGAACCTTGTCATCCAATGCCTCTGCCGAGGAGAGGGACTTGGAGTCATGTTTTTCCAGAAGGACGGAGGCAGGGTATTGTTGAATGAAAGGCTGCTCACCTGCAGTCCCCGGCCCAGGTTCTGACTTGGCTCTTGCAATCTTAGAAATGCCATCTAAATTCTCTGGGTTTTGGTTTCATTATAAATGCAATAAATTGATGTCTAAAGTTTCTTTTAGCTATAGAATTCAATGCTATGATTTTTTATTAATTTATTGAGTTAGGCAGTAAATTACATAAGTGCCTTAATATTGAATGTACATATCACTGAATTATTTTCTGTGTATAAGCACCATTTAGGTCAAAATGTAGCACATTTCAGGAAGTGATTCTCATATTCCTTCTCAGGGCAACCTGTCAGTGCTACCCACAGGCAACAAAAACATCCACTTGTAATCCAGGGTTACTGTCCTGTGATTCTGTGACTATCATATGAAATACAGTGCCAAAGTTAGTTTGTAATTTTACGAGAGTTAACAGCAAACACCACCTAGTAAAATATGTTGCCCATACAATGTATTATCTATATAAATACATTATCAAGACTATTACAAAATAATAACTTTACCTTAAATGTTAGATATTAATAAGATTATTCACTGCAATGCTGTACATTTCTATTTTTGGTGACTGTAGATGATAAAATACTGAGACACTGACTATGATTTCTTTAGCTGTGGTCAAAATTAAGAAATTAATTTTGCAATGCCTTCTAGACAAATTAGACACTTCCTTTTTACAAATAATTAACATCTATATTACAAGGGCATAATTATTTATTTCACATTTCAGCTGTTTAATAATGTTCTCACACTTTAGTTCCAATTCCCCTCCATTTCACAATCACACTAAGCTATTCATGTTTCCATGTTTTACAATTAGATCTCTGAATATCAAGCTTGTTTATTTTGAAGCATGGCCTGTGTACATATGCCAAATGGGCTTTTAAAATGAGACGGGGTCTTGGGGCATTCTCGGCTGGCATTTCCTGTTAGACCCTATGGACCATCCCATCTCCTGACATTTCCCCTTTTCATCACCCGGTGGCAACTCCCCTTTCGGTATTCGTTGCCTGTGCTGTACTCATGAGGGCCTGAAGATGGGGAAGGATGGGGAGCTGGTGCGAATCAGCTGGGAAGAATAATAAAGCATTTCAAATAAATGATGGCAAAGCTGTGTCATCACGATACGACCACCGGCAAGTCACCATGCTGCGCCATCGCTGCACCACCACCTGCAATCACACTCCTGAGGACAAATACAAATGCTGTATCTGTCTGAAAATTCAGATCAAGGAATTAGTGGTTCTTCCATTTTTTGGAAGGATTAGTGTGTGTGCGTGTGCATGCATGTGTGTGTGTGCAATAGGTAGTGCCCTGGTGATATTTCAACCAACTATTCCAGATCTTGTTTTAACTTGCATTCTATCCATTTTGTTTCTCAGTTTGTTTCCCTTTTGGGGTTCTACACTGCACCCCATGGTAGGGCAGATCTGCCTTGTTCCTACTTTGGGGCATTCCCTAGACTATGTGCAGCATTCAGTTCACTTTCAACCTGCTGGACATTAGAGACATTGACCAAGGCAGCTGCCTGCCTGGGAGCCACACGCATGACCCTGTGTGTTATGTCGGTCAGGCCACAGAAGGAGCATGGGGATCTGAAAGGTGAAGATATGAGGAGACCAGGTATCCCCTTCTAACATGAAGAGGATCGGTTTCCAATCACTCCTGGCTGCAATAGCCAAGTTGGAAATTTTTGATTTGCATAAAGTCCTCGTCCTTTTTATCCTGTTTAAACAGAGAAGTCATTTAAATCGCCTAAGCACACTTGAAGTAAGATCTGAAGGATTTAAACAATGCCACTCACTAAAGTAATGTGAGAGCTGGAGATATTTCTCAACTTTTTTTATCTCTAGATTTTCTTTTTAATCTCCAATTTGGAGATATTTACTGACATTTCTTACTGAATGTAAAAAAGAGAATTCAATAAAAGGAGAAGTACTTGGCGTAAAGTTAATAAAGCTCATGTGAAAGTCAGAAAATCTGGAAAGCCAGGCTGTGACTGTGTGGACACAGGTCTCATGGCCACGGCCTTGCCATCTCTGTGAGCAGAGCGGCAGGTCCAAGTCTGCTCAAGGGAGGGACAAGCTGAGAGCCGCAGCTCAGCTCTCGGACTTCTTCTCTCTAACACAGCATGTCTTTGGCCAGAAAGCCAGAGTGTTACCGGGTATCCTAGATATGGCCTGTCTCCGCTTCCTGAACGTGTGAAGCTTTTTAGGGCAGAGTTATTTTCCCTGAATCGGCTTCTTCTCCAAAGAAGCAGAACCGTACTGCATTTAAGATGTGTTCACACACACACATATGCACACAGAGAGATTAATTATGGAAATTAATTTCCACAATCAGGAAGGCTGAGCCATCCCACCATGTGCCCACCGCAAATTGGAGACCTAGCAAGGCCCATGGTGTAATTCACACCAAGTCTGAATGCCTGGGAATGGGGAGGAGGGGCTGGGGTCCTCATGGAAGTCCAGGAGCCTAGAGGCCTGAAAACCAGGAGCACCCACAGCCAAGAGCAGGAGGGGATCGAGGTCCCAGCTGAGGCAAAGAGCAAGTCCACCTTCTTTTGCCTCCATGTTCTATCTGGGACCTCCATGAATGGGTGATGCCCCCTCACACTGGAGAGGGTGGATCTGCTTTACTCAATGGATTCAAATGCTGATCTCTTCCAGAATGCCCTCACAGACACACCCAAAAATAAGGTGTTGCCTGCTATCTGGACATCCCTCAGCCCCATCCAGTTAACACCTAAATCGACCATTGCAGCAGGCCCCAGACCGGCTATTTGTGGCCTATGTCTTGCCTCTAAAGAATAATGTCAGCAAGAGGACTGGGTAGACCCTACTCGTTTTTACTGAGGACTTTTTCCTTCCACCTTGCTGCCACAGAGTCTCTAACAATGAGTTTTTCTTGGCTTCTGTATTTAGTTCTAGGGTTGTACCGTAATTGACTTAAACAATCTCCAGTGGGCGAAACCAAAACCATTTATAATTCGAAAGCCTGTTACCTAGATTTAGCATGACTTTACTATTTAGCTATCTTCTTCACCACGACATTACCGTCCAGGAAATTCTTGCCTGGGTTGTGTATTACTCATGTTTTTGTAAAAATTGTATTTTATGATGCCTTGACATCTTCTTAGAGTCAGCTAATTCCTAGAGACAACACACAACCAGCAGGTGAGCTCACCTTTTGTATCCAAAGTCCATCCTCTCAGCCATCTTCTTCTAACTCTTTTACACCACGCAAGTATTTCCCCTGTCCAAAATCACCCCGAGGGGCAGGTACAGAATAACTGCAGATGATCCCTATGGCCCAGAGCTGCTGAACTTACTGAAACAATCCAATCCTACTCTTGGTGCATACATTGACCTTGCCTTACCCATTCCTTCCCCACTGTGGTGAGGTCTCCAGCCCATGTTCTCCTCACTCTGCCACTGAACCAACACCAGTGCTTTCCTGTGTGGCCCTGCATGGCATGGGATGGCCCCTCCTCTTGAGAACTATGAGTAATAAATACACTTTTCCTTCAACGTGGTTGTGTCTGTGACTATCATCTTACCATACCCAATTAAAACAAAACCCTATGTGTGATTAAAACAGGCTGATATGATGACAACTCTATTGTGTAGTTCAGGAGCTTTCCATAACGTCACATAAAGGGATACCAGCCTAAGCAACTTGCAGTAGATAGCATCAAATGACTGTTCACCATTCAAGCCTTGCTTTCAAACTTTCCTCTCTGGACTCTCGTGTGTGTGCACTAAACTCACTAAACTCACATCATGGAGCTTACCCAATCCTAATCAAGCCCGGCACTGAACTTTCCACAGTAAATCAGACTCCAGAAACCCTTGAAATATTACACCTTCGTTCCACCCTTTCTCAGACACTAACACTGTTGAGGAAGTGCTCTCCCTTCACTCAACTTTGCTTATCAGCATTCATTCTATTTTGATGGCATTTTCAGGGAATAAGCACTCAACTTGTATACTTTAGACCTTTGTAATAGATATTATTATAGATGATATCATGATGCACATCTTTATATATTCTTGTGTGTGGGGGTGTGTATATACACACAAATGTATATCTTACATAAATATGAATATAGTTAATGCTTATCATTTGTGATGTCAGATCTGTGAATTCATCAACTTGCTGAGCTTAATTTGCAAAATTAATACTCACAGTGCTTCTCTGGTCATTCGCATCCATGCACAGGTGGTGAAAAATGTCAGTTGCCCTAGAACACATTCCAAGCTGAGGCCTAAACTAGGACACTCTGCTTGCTTGCTTCAGTGCTCATGCTGAAAACAGGTATCCTTTCCACGGTATATTTAGTGACATGTTTTTGTTAATTTTTAGCCTTTTTTTTTTTTTAGTAATTTTCCAATTTTCCTTAGCAACTTTGCTGTTTAAAATGCCCCCCAAGCATATGCGGAAGTGCCCGCTGGAGTTCCTAGCCACAAGAGGGTGTGATGTGTCTTGCAATGAAAATGCATCTGTTAGGTACAATTTATTCTCTGCATGAGTTATATTGCTGTTGGTCATCAGTTCAATGTTAAATCAACAATATATAACAAATAAGATGTCTTTAAATGGAAACACACATATTGATCAGCTCATGAAAACATTGCAGTCAGAGGCTCATAGGAACCTCACCCTGCGCTCTGGCTGGGGGCAGCAGTTCAGTCTTCACTAATTCAGTGTCTGTGGTGACTTTGAGAACATAACCAGCAAGACTAATGAGAATCAGCAGTAGGAACACATGTACTGTTTCTATCATAAATTCTTAGAAGTGGATTTTCTAGGTCAAAGAGTATGCACCCCTTTAAAGTTTTTGAAATAGAGCAAAACTGTCCTCTAAAAGGGTTACAACAATTCATACACCCAAGAACAAGGCTGTGAGTTTCCGTTTCTCACCATATGCTTCCCAATATGACCACCCCTCTTCCATGTCTTGGTAATTTGCTGGGTAAAAATAACCTACTTCATTTAATATGCATTCTATGACTTTCAGAACAAATCTAGAAAACTGCAAATAGTACACTGAAATAATTTTATTGATCAAAAAGTGGTAACTAAGTAGAAACAGTGCTAAATTCTGCTTCCAATGACTACTTAATTCCTAACATGTAAAATGTGCATTGTACAGGAAAATGAGACTAACAAAGGGAACCATTTTAGTGTGACATTAAAAGCATGATTTATCTCTTAAATTTTATATCTGGAAATTATTTATAATTCCTGTCATTTTGACTCAATATGCTAATTGTAAAAATATAATTCATGCCACACAGTTGAAATTCAAGTCCAACATAGTTAATGTAATCAAAAACAACTATTTCAAAAAGTGGAGTCAGTTTAGTTGTGGCATTAAAACACCTGTCAGTGTTTTAACTATTGCTCTCAGGAAGGCTCCAAGGGTTTGTATGTTAATGATGGCTAATGGCTAATCCTTTGTGAAAGGCCATTCTTATATTTCCAAGGTTTTAGTTATAAATTAGCCAGAATATCTTGTAGATGACCTGTGGTGTTCTGTAGTAAATCTGTGACATTTCTTGTACAATAGTTCATGGGCTTCTTTAACAATACCTTTTCCTTTCCCCCATCTCAGTATCTTTCTGGAAACAAAGCCTTTAATGTATAATGTAATGCAAAATGAAAGACTTTTTTTGTAAGGGAAATGGGAATGTTGGTTCATAAACTCATATATGTCTCCTGCACAGGTTAAACAAAATGTTTATATAGGCACTAATTGGATCTATTCAAAACTGGAGGTGAAAACAAATATTTTAACAGGATGTATTTAATTCAGTTTCTCCTTTCTTCTAACCTCCTGGATGGAAAGGGTGAAACAGGGAAGACAGATGGAATTGTGTGAGTGCAGAACTGTTCAGCACACTCCTCAGCTGAAGGAGCCCCTGCCTTTTATAGGCGGATGGCCCTGACCATCTGGCAAATACAACACATGTGCTGTGAAGTTCATTTTGACCAGTAGGTTGGGGGAAAACTGAGTGGGTAGGATGGATGTGGGGCAAAATGGGTGGGTAGAGTGGGTGGGGTGAAAACCAAATGGATAGGGTTGTTGGGGGGAAACTGAGTGTGTAGCGTGGGTGGGGGAGTAACTGAGTGGAAATGTCTTTCTACAGAACATAATAAAAAGAAAGTAACTTTGAATTATTTAATATGCTACATTTTGTAGGAAGCATATGCTGAAATTCCCGTGTGAAATAGCTAAGATAAAGCAAGATGCATGCAAAGTTTTCAGTTGATTTTGAAGTGTAACAGACAAAATATCTCAAAAGCAACAGTCTAAAAATTTTGATTTCTTTTTGAAATTGTATTAGCAGCCCGTGGAAAAATAGTTCTTGCCTAGACGCTGTGTTTTTTTCCAGTTATTCAGCATTTTAGCTAACTGGGCTCTGGACATCATACCTTCGCATTGACCCGTAATACACTTAAATTATGTAAAATATTTAAATAATTTTCAGATTTATTAACCTTCTAAAATATCATCTTCACAATGCAATTTTTGAAATTCATTTAAATTAAAATTATTAAGTAATCTAAGAGTAATTTAATGGAAGAGTAAAACAATAATTGAGATCATTTAAGCCTGAAAATAAAATGTTGAGTTTAAAGAAAATTTGAGGTACAGTTTTGATTTATTTTAACATTGTCTGAATGTATTAAAATATTAACAGATTTTAAAGTTCATTTTTCTGTTGTCTAGAAAAACAGCATATGTGAGCTTCCAGAGTGGTGGATATGTTTTTTTCCCCATGAACCTAGTTCTTTTTTTTTTTTTTTTTTTTTTTTTTTTTTTTTTTTTTTTTTGACAGAGTCTCACTCTGTCACCAGGCTGGAGTTCACTGGCTCCATCTCTGCTCACTGCCATCTCCGCCTCCCGAGTTCAAGCGATTCCCCTGCCTCAGCCTCCCGAGTAGCTCGGACTACAGGTGCACACCACCACACCCGGCTAATTTTTGTATTTTAGTAGAGATGGGGTTTCACCGTATTGGCCAGGCTGGTGTTGATCTCCTGACCTCGGGATCCACGCACCTTGGCCTCCCAAAGTGCTGGGATTACAGGCGTGTGTCACCGCATCCAGCTGAGCCTAATTCTTTAATAAGAGAGTGGCAAAGACTATTAGAGGTGTTCAAAATGTTCCTCTTGGTCTTCATAAATGGAATAATGTGCTACAGAGATTACTGATTTAATGAAGGTTGCATAGCTAGTTGGTAGTAAAGCAGAGACTGGACCCCTGATACAGCAGAGAACTTTTCACATATCAGGTGTCCATAAATTTTCACTTCATTTTCCCTTCCCATCAGTCCACTATATTGTGTTTTTGCTAAAACGTTTAAATAAACACGTCTTGTTTCTCCTATAGCCTAGTGGTTCTCACATGCTATTGTTAATCAAATAATTTGGGATGCTGGCTCTAGAGCCCATTAGTGATTCAGATTCAAATGCTGAGCAGAAGTTTTAGAAGTTGGACTTTAAACAAACGTCTCTATTTATTTTGACCCAAATGGACTAAAATAACTACTTTGGAATACAGTACTTTAGACCACATGAGAGATGAAATTAATTTGGCCAATCGTTTTGGCACTATTTTTAATAAAAATACCTTTTCTCTATTGAATTCCTATAGCACCTTTGACAAAAATTAATTCCTCCTGTGTGTGTGCTATATTTCTACTCTTTGTTCTATTTCTCTATCTATTCCTAAGTAATATCATACTATCATTATCACTATTGTTATACAATCTGCCTTATACTTGGAGTCTTCCAAATTTGTTATTTCCCAAAAGAGTTTTGGCTAAGGTACTTTCTCTGTTTTTTGTATACCAAAATTTTTGCTTATCATTGTCACTATGGAAAGAATTGAGGTGTGGCAATTTTTGTTCTTCCAATCCATGAACATGGTATATCTCCCCATGTATGTGGGTTTGCTTTATTTATATTCTATCAGCAATGCTTTGTAGTGGTTACTGTATAAATCTTGAAGTGTACTGGAGTAAATAAACCTTAAATATTTCTTTTTGGATGATAATATATATTATTTTCTAACTGTTACTTCCAAATGTTCATCACAGTTACTTAAAAATATAGTTTTTCTATGTTGATTTTGAATTCTACAACTCACTTATTAGTTCTAGCAGATTTAAAATAGATCGTTCTAGATATGCTACATACATGATTATTTCTTCTGTGGATAAATTTAGGGTTGTTTTTTTCCAATCCATACACCTTTTGTTTTATATTCTTTTATTATTGCACTGGATCAAACCTTCAGTATAATGGTTGGCAGATGTAGTGACAGTGAATGCACTTGTTTTGTTTCGTATCGTAAGAAGAGTATATGGTCTTTTATGAGTAAATGTGATATTAACAACAGTTCTCATAGAGACACTTACTCAAGTTGAAGGGGAGAGAAAAATGAGTTTTTACTCATAGCTTGCAGGGAGTTTTGATCAATAATGGATGTTGAATTTTGTCAAATATTTATCTGCATCTATTGAAAAACATAACGTTATTGTTGTTGTTGTTTCTCTGTAGTGTGTTAGCATGGTGAATTACATCAATTGGTTTTCTAATGCAATCCACCTTGCATTCCCAGGATACATAATACTTAGTCATGATATATTATTGTTTTATATGTTTTTGGATTCTATTTGATAAAATTTAGTTTAGAAACATTGTTTCTACATTCATGGACTAAACTGATCTGCACTATTTTTTTTCTTATAAAGTCTCTATCTCACTTGGGTATTGGGATAATACTGGCCTCACGGGACAAGCAGGTAAGTGTGTGTACCTCTTCAAATTTACAGGAGTTGTATTGGCATTGTTTCTCCTTTAAATCTTTGTGATATTTCACCACACATACCTTCAAGGCCTAAAGATATTTGGAACATTGTTGAGGGAAAATTTGTAAGTACAAATTCAATAATTTTATTAGCTATATGGCTATTTGGTCTATTTATTACTTCTTGAATGAGCTTTGCAAGTTTGTATCTTTTAGAGTATTTGCCCACCCATCTAAGTTGCTAGATTTTTAGCATTCATTTTCTCATTATATTCCTTTATTATTTTAATATTAGTAGTTTCTCTGGTGATGTCACCTTTCTCACATTTTGTTTCTTCTCTATTTTCAGATCAGGCTAACTACAATTTTATAAATTTTAAAATTTTCTCAAAGAATCAGCTTCTGGTTTCATTGATGTTTTCTATTGTTTTCTGTTATGCTTTTCGCGGTGATTATGAGTATTTCCTCTACTAATAAATTGGGGGAACACTTACTTGTTTTTCCTCCTAGTGTTTGAATGTGAAAACTAGGGTCATTCAATTAAGAAATTCTTCTCTACTATTAGCACTTAGGACTGCAGCTCTTACTTCGCTGCCTTAGGGTTATCCCACACATTTAATACATGGCGTTTTCTTATTCATTCTGTATATTTCCTTATTTTATTTTTGATTTTTTCTTTGATCTATGGATTATTTACAAATGTGCTGATCAGTTTCTAAATATGTGGGAATGTACCACAGTTCTTCCTGTTATTGCTTTGTAATTTAATTCCATTTTGATGAGAGAACAACCTTCTATGATTTGAATCTGCTAAGGAATCTTCTGTAATTCTTAATCTTTGTTCCTCTATACATAATGCACAATATTTTTTCTGACTTTTTACAAGATTTTCTTCTTATCACTGTCTTTGAGCAATTTGTGATGTTTTCTTCATGTTTCTTTTGAATTAGTAAAATTTAGAAAATAATTAACTATTATATTTTCCATTTTTTTTCTGTTTCCACCCTTCCCTCCTCTCTTTGGAGACTCTCATGGCACTAGCATTCAGCAACTTGAATTGCTCTACTTTTTACAGAGGCTCTATTCAATTTTTATTTGTTAATATTTCTCTCTCTGTTTCAATTTAACTACTTATACTGATATAGCTTCAAATGCACTAGTCTTTTATTCTGGAATGACTAATTCACCGTTAATCTTGTGCTTTATATTTTCCATATGATAAACTGTAGTCTTCATATCTATAATTTTGAGATTTTAAAAATATTTTCCATGACTCTAAGTTTTTTGAACATGTGGAATGCAGTTATAATAATATTGCATATACTTGACAGGCAAGTCTGACATCTATGACAGTTCTGTTAGGTTTTAATCAACTGATTTATGTTCTCATTACCAGACACTGTTCCAAGGGTTTTACATTTATTAACTCCCTTAATTCTCATAGCAACCCTTTGAGATAGGTATAATTACCATTCTCGTTTAAGATGCAGCAACCAAAGTCTAGAAAGGTTAAAAAACTTGCCCAACATCACAAAGCACGACTTAGCGTCTGCATTTGAAACCTAATCTCTGCTGTGCCGCCACTTAAAAGTGAATACGGTCAATTATAACCACAGATCAAATAAGTTTAATCTGTCAAGTTTGTAAGGATTTACTAAGGTTTTTTTAAAATAACTTTTTAAAGGAAAAAATACTAAAAAATGAAAAAAAATACTAAAGAGCCGTATATATTCTGAAATCTACCAGGAAGTGAAAACAAATAACTTGATCGAAAATGCTGTATTATCACAAACCCCGTGTTGATTTATAAGTCAAACTGTAGATGAACAAAGCTTAAAGATTAACTCTGAGTATATTGAAGACAATGCTTTGCAAATGCAACAAAATCAAAAATAGACAAATGGGACCCAAGTAAACTAAAGTGCTTCTCTACAGCAAGAGAAGCTCTCAGCAGAAAAGACATCCCACAGAATGGGAGAAAATATTTGCAAACTATGCATCTGACAAAGAACTAGTATCTAGAATCTATAAGGAGCTTAAATCAACAAGAAAAAAAAAACACAAGTAACCCCATTAAAAAGTGAACAAAGGACATGAAAACACATCCTTTTTAAAAGAAGACATACACACAGCCAATAAGTCAGAATGATTATCATTAAAACGTGAAAAAAATAATAGATGCTGGCAAAGCTGTGGAGAAAAGAGAATGTTTATCCACTCACTGTTGGTGGGAGTGTAAATTAGCTCAGCTCCTGTGGAGAGCAGTTTGGAGATCCCTCAAAGATCTAAAAACAGGACTGCCATTCGATTCAGTAATCTCAGTACAGGGTTATACCCAAAGGAATAGAAATCTTTCTACTATAAAGACACACACATGCGTATGTTTATTGCAGCACTATTTACAATAGCAAAGACAGGGAGTCAACCTGAGTACCCATAAATGGTGGATTAGATAAAGAAAATGTGGTACCTGTACACCATGGAATACTACACAGCTGTAAAAAAGGAATGAAATCATGTCCTTTGCAGCAAAATGGATGCAGCTGAAGGCCATTAACCTAAGCGAATTCACACAGAAACAGAAAACCAAATACTACATCTTCTCACTTGATAAGTGAGAGCTAAACATTGGGTACACATGGCCCCAAAAAAGGAAACAATAGACACTGGGGGGTTCAAAAGGGGGAAGTGTGAGGGTTAACAATTGAAAAACTACCTATTGGGTACTATGTTCACTACTTGGCTGACAGGCTCATTAGAAGCCCAAACTTCAGAGTCATGCAATATACTCATGTAACAACCCTGTACATTGTGTCCCCCTGAATCTAAAATTAAGACAAAAGACAATGTTTTAAATAGTGACCATGAAAAATCTCCATCTACAATCTACCCTCATTCCCTTAATGTAATCTAAAATATTTTAATTGAGCAGTATCAAGAACAAACAGGCAATTTTTTATAATGCAATAACCTATAAATAACCTGCAATTACCTATATTTTATATATTTTTGCATATTTTGCATATTTTTATTTTTTGCATGTTTATATTTTTGCATATTTACATTTTTATATGCAAAAAATATATATATTTTATAATGCAATAACCTATGACTGTTTCAATGTTTGTTAAAGAAGAATGAATATGAAGCATGGGAGCTGAATTAACTTTCTATGTAGCTTTTGGAATTCTGTAATGCAAACTGCATTGTTTGCACTACAACATGGAGAGGAGTGTTGAGAGCCTTCGGATCTGTGGGTGAGTCTTGCCCTTCCCATGTAGTAGGTGATGTGATAATGCACAAGCTGTCTAATCTCTGGCATGTGTTATTTATCTGTAAAATGGGACTTTTGATGACATGATTCCCAGGTTAATTATTTGAGATTTGTGTCGGGCAACTGAGTACCTTGTTGTCACATAGAAAGACATCAGTAACTTGTGACTTTATCATTTCTCTTTTATTTCTTGGATTTACATAAATAAATGAAATGTTCCTCTTGAAATGCAGCAGAAATTCACCTGATGTCCTTCCTTACTGAACTAGGTCCCAATGTCCTCTATATAATTTGCTATCAATTTTCTCATCTTTCTCAGAATTCTGCTATTCTTACTTTTGATAGTCTCATTTTCAATTGCACTCACTCTTGTCTACCAAACAAAAATGATGAAAACACATAGTATTCTTCCAAGATATACAGTTGAATGTCTTTGTTCCTGACCTCCATGTGAGATTGAATTGAACCTTGTAGCCCTGACCTGAGATCAGATGCCAAGGCATTTATTTGAAACATACTTTTATGGTATCCTTTGGATCCAAGTATCTGCATCGGCTTAAATAGTTGCACGGGATGTCTCCCAATCCCATGGGTTATTATTTGTTTCACTAAACAGATCCAAAGTTACTTTCTTATTTTCACAAAGGCATTTGTGTATGTGTGGTGTTCTGTTTTGAAGGGCGGTTTTTGATTAAGTGGGGTTAAACAGTAACGCAAATGATGGCTTCGATTGACCCCTCCCCACATGCTCTCTGGACACTTTTTTGTTTGGCTGCTCTCATTTATCTTCCCTTCTTCTTCTTTTTTTCCTTCTTATTTCTACTCTCTCTCTCCATGTTTTGTCTCAAAAGTCTCCTTCATTTTTTAACATACTTAATTTTTTTTAGAGCACTTTTAAGTTAACAGCAAAATTGAAGAGAAATTAGTTTCCATCTACCCTCTGGCCCCACCCCATATGCAAAGCCTCCCCAGTTATGAACATCCCCCACTAGAGTGGCCCCATTGTTACCTACATGGACCATGAGCCTACATTGATGCATCATTATCACCCAAAGTCAGTGGTTAAAATTCGGCTTTACATTTGGCCTTGTACATTCTACAGGTTGAACAAATGTATAATAACATGTATCCACCATTATAGCATTGTACAGAGTATTTTCACTTTCCTAAAACTCCTTACTGCTCTGCTTCCTGTTTTATGTGGTGTGTTAGTTATGTGTTTCGTTGATTTGTTTCTGAAGACCAATTTCCTCAATGTCTAATAATTCCATTGTCTTCCACCTAAGATTCTTTCTGATTTTTTTTTAAACATTTTGTTTCTTGTAAGTACAAGTGCATTTTCCTGTCAACCTTTTTTAATTTAGAACATTCTTTATCAAAGGAAGAAAATGAAGAATGCCTTCAATCCTGATTCTCCCTCAACATCTTATTTGTCTTTTTTTCTATGTTGACTGACTCCTCAAAAGATCAACCTACCCTTGCTTCATCTGCCTCACCAACGTTTATCGATGGTGGAGTTACAGACTTATTCTATCCACATAAATCTGCTGAAATGATTCTTTTAGTAACAAGTGATAATTATCACACACACCCTTTTATTAGTCCTCACCCTCCTTGAAACTAAAGGCACCTGCATTGGATCACCTTTCCTTTTCAGAATATTTTCTCTTCTCTCACATTGCATTATACTGATTCTCCTCCTGTATTTCTAATTACCTGTTTTTTCTTTTGCTGTTATTTCTCCTTCTAACGCCCCACTCTAAATGCAAATGCTACAAATGTGTCTATATTCCTTCTTCAACCATCTTTTTGTTTGCAGCTCCACTTCCATCCAGCTGTCTCACCTCTCCGACTCAGTAAGGGTTTTCTTCTCTAGTCTCCATCTGCTGAATCCATGTTTCTGCTCATCTCCAGTCTCATATTTATGATATCCAGATATGAAACTTCATTTCACTTTAAAGTGAACAGGTTTATATGTGAACTCCTTACATCCTCTCAAAGTCATGTTCTTCTTCTTGACATTCAGAAATTGCTTAGTGTTATCATTCTAATGTAGGGCCCTAGGGCCAGAATCTTAGAGTCTCTGTTTTCTTCCTTTCTGCCACTTCCATTTCCTATAGAAAGGTAACAAATTGACTCCACTTGCACAATGCTACTCATATTAAGACCTAACTCCTCCTTTTCATTTAAACTTCCAACACAGTAACTCAAGTAATTTCTATTTTTTCCTCAGATGATTGTAACTGTTTTGCATATGGCTTTTGCATGCTAGTTCTCATACTTTCCCACTGTAGACAGCCTACAATACAAATTTACTCATGTTACTCTGCTGCTTGAAAACTTCCATTTGCCTTATTGTCTAATAAATAACACATATACTCTTTAAACTAAAATTGAAGACACTTCTCAGTACAGCATTCATTTCCTGCGAAATGCTACACTGCCTCCCTACTGGGCCCTGGGTTCATTTAAATGTATTACTGAGGTTTTATCAAGCATGTCTGTCGCCTTTCTTACTGCTCGCGCATCGAACCCTTCTTCTCAGGCTTTGTACTTCTTTGTGTTTGTCCTGTGCATTTTCTACCTCTTTTATCTACTCTAAGGGATTGAGTTTCTTACAGACAATATCATAAACATCTTTGTATCTCAGACTGTGTGGCCTTACACATAACAAATGTTTAATGGATGTTTACTCAATTAGATAGAATTCAGTGTTATCCACGGAATCATATTTTAGTACTTACTGCTATATGTTTACAATGAAGCAGGTTGTATACAAATGTAAACGAGTTTAAGAGTTCTACACTTCACCTAGCCTTAACATTCTCCGTGTAAAGTTATGAAAAAGCAGTCATGGGGTTGCATATACAAATTTCACATGTTATATGCTCACATATGTAAAGACTTAATGCTGTTGCTATAAAACTCAAATTATCTCAGAGCATAGTCTCATTGCACCAGTGAAAGACATTTAACACTTGCCAATTCAAGGAAATTTTATTGTTGTATGTTTAAAACTCCTGCCTTTGGTTAAGTCGTCTCTCAGTCTTTGCCCGTATAAGACTGAAGTTCTCAGGGACTAGCATTTTCTACTATGGAGAAAGCACCGTCCATCCCTTTTGTTCTGCCGTCCCCTTGCATCCAGTTTCTAAGGCGTTACTTGGCTGTCGGTACCAGCCTACCAGGTCACTGCATCTGCTGCGTTCTGGTGCCTGCGTGACTTCCGGATGTCGAGGCTGGCTGCTCCGTCCACGCAGGACTCCGAGTCTTCATGTCAATTACTGGACTTGTGTGCGCAGATCCCATCTTTGCAGTAAAGGGACCTGGAACGTTCAGCTGCCTTTCCTATCACACGAGGTGGTGCCCTGCCCTCGGCTTTGCCCTCCTCAGGGTGGCTCCCAGACACTGCTTCTCAGGTCTCCTCCAGGTTCCATAATCAATACTGCATTCGTTTGCTAGAGCTGTTGTAACAGTGCACCACAGGCCGGATTAAAGAACAAAAATGCATTGTCTTTCAGTCCTGGAGGCTGCAAGTCCAAGATCAAAACATCAACAGGGCTGGTTTGTCTGGAGGGTTTGAAGGAGAATCGCTCAGTGCTCTCCTTTTGACTTGGAGGTGGACGCCTTCTCCCTGGGTTTCCTTCGTATCATCTTCCCTCTGCATGTGTCTCTGTGTCTAAGTCTCTCTCCTTTTAATAAGGACACCAGTCATATTGGTTTAGGAGCCTCCCTGAAGATCTCATTTTAACTCGATTACCTCTCTAAAGACCCTGTTTCCAAATAAGGTCACATTTTGAGGGATTAGGGGCTAGAACTCCAACTTCTGATATTTGGAACATTTATAAATCTTATAAAATCTCAATTTATGAAATCTGCTAATTTCAGCTCTTAGCAGAAACAAAGCTTTTATTTGTGACCTGTTCTCTTCTTGGCTAAATCTTATGAAGCTGGAAAAATTGCTTTCAGATCCTGCAATCTACAGAGATTTCTAAAGTTTACCCTATACTGTATTACATGAGTCCTTCTGCAAGTCCTGGGTGGAGAATATCTAGAAAAAAAGAAAAATGTGAAGAAAGAAAACACAATTGCATAATCCTTCCTTCCTTCCTTCCCTTTCTTTTTTTCTTTTATTTTTTATTTTCATTTTTTTTTTTTTTGAGATGGAGTCTCACTCTGTCACCCAGCTTGGAGCGCAGTGGTGCGATCTCGGCTCACTACAGCCTCTGGCTCCTGGGTTCAAGCAATTCTTCTGCCTCAGCCTCCTGAGTAGCTGGGATTACAGGCACACACAACCACGCCGGGCTAATTTTTGTATTTTTGGTAGAGATGGGGTTTCACCATGTTGGCCAGGCTGGCCTCGAACTCTTCAAGTGATCTATTGCTTCAGCCTCCCAAAGTGCTGGAATTACAGGTGTGAGCCACAGTGCCAGGCCTATTATTCTTTAAATAATTCTTTAACATGAATGTTAGAGACAATATATAAGCAGGAAAAAATATAAATAAAATTTGTATTTCAAAGTAAAAATTTACTTCAATCTACTAGACCTGAATAACTGGAAGGAAGGAGTTGCAACCAACTGAGATGGTCTATTGGACCGTGTCTTAGGTTGGTTCTATCAGAGGCAGACCTTTCAGATTCTGAGAAGAGGATGAAAAAAACACTAACTTCCATTTTTCCTCCTGTCCCAATTGACAGCCCTCCTATTTAATAAATGCTGAAATGAAAAATTATGTAAGCACGCATTTACTAATTTTACTTTTACAAATAATGCATGAGTTAATAATGACTTGAGCTCTTTGTTAAAACTTCTCATACGTGAAAAGTACTCTAAAGAAACAGGCTCTATTTGAATACATACAGCAGGTTGAAGTCCATTTCAGGTCCTGGGAAAGTCTTGCTTATATTCCGAGCCATGCCTGACGTTTCAAAGGGAGGGATTTATTTTCAAATCTCAGTTAGCACCTGGTGGCTTCCTCTGAATAAATTATGCTGCTGGTGTCTTCTATTCTGATGAGTTTTGCTTTAGTTTTCAGAAACTCTTCAAGGAAGAATTGGTTTTTCTCTTCAATGCCTACAAATTTATTGTCCAATGACTCTGCCTGTAACACATCTCGTGGCCTCTGTTGAACCTTGCTTAGCAAAGGTTCCTCTCCACAGTCAGAATCTGCGCTTCCACCGAAGCCAGCCAGCCCAGTCTGGGCACCTGAGGCAGAGCATGAGTTGGTGGATTCCCAGGAGGAGGGAGTCCCCACAAAAGGGCTCCAGGGTGGGGTTTCGGTAGGGGTGACATGTAGGAAGGTCAGGGTAGGGGGTAGTACCCGGGGGTATGAAATAAGGGCTGACCCTCACAGGTTCAATTTAGGGGGTGATGCCCAGTTGACATGACCATCCAGATGTTCCTACAAATAACGAACCTCCCACCTCAAGGGAAGAGGCTGGAGAATCAGGCAGAGCTCCCCGCCCCGGACACCCACTGTGCTAGGATTCTCACTGTTGCTTCAAATTTGTGAGGTTTTCAAGTAAAATTAACACTAAGAATTAAAAGATGTCAAGAAAAGAAGTCAATGTTTAGAGGAATTTAATACTGCAACTGTATACTGAGGACTTCCTACGTTCTAGGCACGAAATTAGGTACCAAGGCTACCAAGGTGAAATCCTTCTGAGTGCCTGACTTGAGGAATGTTTTTAACCTGAGAAGTCATGCATACAGATACTAAAATGTGAAAGAATGTTGGATAAGCATTTATTCAAAATGTCAAACGTTCATAAAGTAGAAGATCATTAGAAATTTCTGCCAAACGTTGAATGGGTGGAACAAAATAATTGGTAAGAAATTTGAAGTCCCCCAATAAGTAAAGGGAAGAAAGTGTTGTTCCTAGTGGAGAAAATAAGTTGACTGAAGACTTGGAATATAGCAATGCGTCCCGCAGCTACTTCAAGTGGCCCAACGGAGCTGCAGCACAAAACAAAAAGAATGCTGGGAGAGAAGGCTCTAAGTGCTTTTTCTTTCCTTCATTGGATTTAGTGAGGTGTAATACAATAAAATTCATGTATTTTTAGCTTACAGTTCAATGAGTTTGTTAATGTATGCAAAGATACAAGACCACTAGCAAGTTTCAGAACCTTTCCGTGACACCAAATAGTTCCTTACTGTCCCTTCGCTGTTAATCCTTCCACCAAACCCAGCCTCAGAAAACCACTTATCTGCTTTCTGTGCTTTTTCCAGCATTTTGTTATTGATGTCTCTGGTGTTTTTCACTTGGTAAGGTGTTTTTGACAAACATTCAGGTTGTAGCATGAATCAATAGTTCTTTTTTAATTTAATCTTTTAAGTCTGTCATTGACACATAATGATTGTGCATACATATGGGATGCAACAGGATGTTTCCATACACGTATAGACTATGTAATGATCAAATCAGGGTTATTAGCATATCCATCACTTTAAATATTTATTATTTATGTATGATGAGAACATTCAAAACCTCTCCTCTGGCCATTTTGAAATATAGAATACATTCGTTTGAACTCTAATCATCCCGCTATCCAGTAGACCACCAGAAATTATTCCTCTCATCTAACTGTAGCTTGCACCCATTGACCACTGTCTCATCGTCTCCCCCTGCCACCGTTCCCATCCTCTGGTAACCACCATTTTACCCTCTACTTTTATGACAACATTTTCAATGTCACATACGTGTATAATTACACAGTATTTGTCTTTCTGTGCCTGGCTTATTCCACTGAACATAATGTCCTCCAGGTTCATCTATGTTGCCATAAATTACAGGATTTCATTACTTTTTATGGCTGAATAGTATGCCATTGTGTATCTATACCTTTTGTCTGTTGATGGACATTTAGATTGATTCCATATCTTGGCTATGGTGAATGGTGCTGCAATAAACATAGGAGGCCAGGCACAGTGGCTCATACCTGTAATCCCAGCACTTTGGGAGGCTGAGGTGGGCAGATAATTAGAGGTCAGGAGTTCAAAACAAGCCTGGCCAACGTGGTGAAACCCCCATCTCTACTAAATATACAAAAATTAGCTGGATGTGGTGGCACGTGCCTGTAATCCCAACTACTTGGGGGGCTGAGGCAGGAGAATTGCTTGAGCCCAGGAGGCGGAGGTTGCGGTGAGCTGAGATCACGCCATTGTACTCCAGCCTGGGCAACAGAGAGAGACTCCATCTCACATAAATAAATAAATAAATAAATAAATGCAGATATCACTTTGATATATTAATTTTATTTCCTTTGCATATACCCAATAGTGGCATTGCTAGATCTGTTTTTAATTTTTTAGAAACCTTCATAATATGTTCCATAATGACTGTACTCACTTATATTCCCACCAATAATGTGGAAGGGTACCTTCTCTATTTTGCACTAGTAATGTGTAAGAGTTTCCTTTTCTTTACATCCAGGCCAACACTTGTTATCTTTTGATTTTTTTGTTAGTAGCCATTCTGACTGGAGTGAGGAGGCTTCTTATTATTTTCATTTGCATATTCCTGATTATTAGTGATGCTGAGCATTTTTTCATATACCTGTTGGCTGTTTGTATGTCTTATTTTGATAGATATCTATTCAGCTCTTTTGTTTGTTGTTATTTGAGTTTCTTACATATTTTGGATATGAGCTCTTACCTGAGGTATATTTTACAAATATATTCTCCCATTCTGTAGTTTTTAATTCATGTTAATTTTCATATGTGGTGCACTACAAGGGTCTACTTTCATTCTTTTGCATGTGGATATACACTTTTCTCAGCCCCATTTATTAAAGAAGCTCTCCTCTTCCACTGTGTATACTTGGCACTATTGTCAAATACAGTTGGCTATAGATGTGTAGGTTTATTTAGGGACTTTCTATTCTTTTCCATTGGTCTATTTGTCTCTTTTTAATGACATTACCATGTTGTTTTAGTTACTATAGCTTTGTAGTATGTTTTAAACTCAGGTAGTGTGATACCTCCATCTTTGTTCTTTTTGCTCAATATTGCTTTGACTATTTGTGGATTTTTTGTGGTTCCATACAAGTTTTAGAATTGCTTTTTACTCTTTTTGTGAAGAATATTATCTGTCTATTGATGGGGATTTCATAGAATCTATAGCTCACTTTGGGTAGTATGAACAACTTACCAAATTAGTTATTTCAGCCCATAAACATGGACTATCTTTCCATTTATTTAGTGTCTTCTCAATTTATTTTATTAATGTTTTACAGGTTCCATTGTAGAGTTCTTTTGCCACTTTGGTTAAATGATTTCCTAGGTGTTGTACTTTTGTAGTTATTGTAAAATAGATTGTTTGCTTCATTTTTTTAAGATAATTCATTATTTATTGGCTATTGGTATTGAAACACTACTAAGTTTTGTATGTTGATTTTTTTATCCTTCAGCTTTACTAAATTTGCTTATTAGTTCTAATAGTTTTTCAGTGGGTCTTTGGAGTTTACTATATATCACATTATGTCATCTGGAAACAGGAACAATTTGACTTTTTCTTTTCCACTTTGATTGTCCTTTATTTCTTTCTCTTGCCTGACTATTTCAAGTTAGGACTTCCAGTACTGAGTTTAATAAAAGTGCTCTAAGTGGTATCTTTTTTATTCCAGACTTTAGAGAAAAGAGAAAAGGCTTTCAATTTTTTTCCCTTCAGTATGATGTTAGCTGTGGGGTTTGTGGTATGTAGCCTTTAATAAGTTGTGGTACATTTTTTCTATACTTAATCTCTTGAGAATTTGATCACAAACATATGTTGATTTTATCCAATTTTTTCTGCATCTATTAATATAATCAGGTTTTTGCCTTCATGCTGTGGATGTGATATATTATGTTTATTGATTTCCATATCCTTGCATCCCTGGAGTAAATACTACCTGATCATGATGAATAATCTCTTTGTTGTGCTGTTAGATTAGGTTTACTAATATTTTACTGAGGATTTTTGCACCTGTGTTCATCAGGGATATTGGCCTGTAGTTTTCTTTTCATGTCTGTGTCCTTGTCTGGTTTGCTGTTATGCCTTGTAGAATGAGTTTGGTAGAATTCCCTCCACATTATTTTTTTTTTCAATAATTTGAGAAGAATTGGTATTGGTACTTTTTTAAATGCTTGATAAAATTCAGCAGTGAAGCTATCTGGCCTTGGGCTTTTCTTTAATGGAAGACTTTTCTATTACGGATTCCATTTTGTTGTTAATTGTTGGTCTATTTAAATTTTCTATTTCTTAATGATTCCATTTTGTTAAGTTATATATGTCCTGGAATTTATCCATTTCTTCTAGGTTTTCCAATTTGTTGGGCATATAGTTGTTCATAATAGACTCTAATGATCATTTGTATTTCTGCGGTGTCAGTTGTAATGGCTCTTATCTCTGATTTTATTTGAGTCTTCTTTTTTTCAATTACTGTAGCTCACAGTTTGTCAATATTTTTTATGTTTTAAAAAAAACTTTGTTTTGCTGATCTTTAATAGTTTTTAGCCCTTATTTTATTTATTCCTACTCTGATCTTAATTAGTTCTTCTACTTATTTTGAGTTTGTTTTGCTTTTGTTATTCTAGTTTCTTGAGTTGTAACTTTAAGTTGTTTATTTGAGATCTTTCTATTTTCTAATGTAGGCCTTAATTGCTATAAATTTCTCTCAGCACTGCTTTTCCTGGATTCCATTGGCTTGGAAATATTGTGTTTTCTTTATAATTTATCTCAAAAAATTTTGTCATTTTCTGTTTAATTTTTTCATTGACCCAGTGGTTGTTTAGTAGCCTGTTGTTTAATTTTCATGTATTCTTGTAGAGTCCTAAGTTCTTGTTATTGATATCTAGTTTTATTGCACGCGTTCAGAAACAATTTAATTGTTTAAAATTTATTGAAACTTTTGTGGCCAGCATACAATCTCTCCTGAAGGATGTCCCATGTGCTGCTGAGAAGAATGCATATTCTGCAGCTGCTGGGTAGAATGTTCTGGTCTCTTAGGTACATTTGGTCTTGGGTGCAGTTTAACTCTGCTGTTTCTTTGTTGATTTTTTTTTTTTTTTTTTTTTTTTTTTGGTCTGGATGATGTATGTCTATTGCTGAAAGTGCGGTGTTGAAGTTCCTTAATGTTACTGTACTCATTTCTATCTCTCTATTTAGGTCTAGGAACATTTCCTGTATATATTATGTGCTCCAATGTTGGGTGCATACACACTTATAGTTGTTATATCCTCCTTGTGAATTGACCCCTTTTGCACTGTATGGTGACCTTCCTTGTCTCTCCTTAAAACTTTTGATTTAAAGACTATTTTATGTGATATAAACTTAGCTACTCATACTCCCTTTTGGTTTCCATTTGCATGGAAGATACTTTTCCATCACTTCAATTTTAGTATATGTGTGTCTTTACAGGTGAAGTGAGTTTCTAGTAAGCAGCTTGTAGTTGGATCTTGATTTTTTAAAAATACTGCTACCATTTTGCTGTTTAGTTTCTAGTTTTTTTTTTCTCAATACTTCCTTTCTCCCTTTCTCTCTTATTGTCTTTCTTTGTAGCTATGTGGCTTTGTCTAGCAGTGTTTCCTGAGTTGTTGGCTTTTATTTTTGGTACACCTATTAAACGTTTTTGATTTGCAATTACCATGAGGCTTACCAAAAACTTTTTTGTTATAACAAGTTACTTTAGGCCAATATCAACTTGACTTTGTTAGGAAAAAAAAAATTAAAAACAAAAAAATTAAAAAAATTAAAAACTCTGTACTTTACTTGCGTTCTCCCCCACATTTGGCGTTTTTGATGTTCCACATTCCATCTTTTTTTTCAATCGCCTATCTCTTAACAATTTAATGTAGTTATTATTATTTTGAATAATTTTGTATTTTAGTCTTCATACTAAAGATATAAGTTCTTTATCGTATTAAAGTATCCTGAATTTGTCTCTATACTTAGTCTTACCAGTAAGTTTTCTGCCTTCAGAGGTGTTCTTGCTACACATTAGCATCTCTTTCTTTCAGTTTGTAGAACTCTTGTTAGCATTTTTTTGTAGGACAGGTCTGTGAAATTCTCTGAGCTTTTGTTTGAGAAAGTCTTTATCTCACCTTCATTTTTGATGTATAGCTTTGCTGAGCAGAGTATGAGCACAGTATTCTTGGTTGACAGTTTATCACTTTTTTGTTTTTAACAACCTTGACAATATTATCCAGCTCTCTCCTGGCCTGTAGGGTTTATGCAGAAAATTCGGCTGCCAGGAGAATTGGAACTCCCTTATGTGATTTTTGTTCTTTTCTCTTGCTGCTTGCAGGATCTTCTCTTTGTCTTTGACCTTGCAAAGTTTGATTAGGGTATGTCTTGGTGTAGACTTATTTGAGTTAATCTGGTTGGTGAACTTTCTCTACTTGGATGTTTGTATATCTCTCTGAAAAGGCTTTTGACCCCTTTAGCATTCTCAATACCCTCTTGAACCGCATTAATCAGAATATTTACTCTGTTTATTCTGTCCCATAGTTCCTATGGGTTTTCTTTCCTTTTATTTCTCTTTCTTTCTTCTCCTCTGACTGGAGATTTTCTTTGAGCTTGTTTGTTGAGAGCACTAAATATTTTTTCTGCTTCTGTTGATGCTGCACATTGCATTTTTTCATTTGATTCCTTGTATTTTTCAGCTCCAAAATTTGATCTTTAAAAAATTGTTTTAATATCTCTGTTAAATTTCTCTGAGAAATTACTAAATTGTTTCTCTGTATATTCTTCAATGTCATTGAATTTCCTTAAAACAGCTATTTTGAGTTCTTTGAGAGGTCACACATCTTCAGCACTTTAGGATCTGGTCTCTGACACCCTGTCTCATCTGTTTGGTAAGGTTCTGGTTCTCTAAGCATTGTTCATGGCTGTGGGCATGGGACAGCACCTGTGCTTTGAAGGATTACATATTTATGCAGGTTTCCAGTATCTGGGCTTGTTCCCATCCTTCTAGAGATTATAAGCAGACAGGTACTCTAAGCCTGTGGGCATTGCCATAATAGAAGGCACCTCAAACCCTGGTTTGCTGCAAATCCACAGTTGGTGTGTTATTCCCAAGGAAAAGGCTTACAGAGAGTAGTTCTTACTGTGTTTCCACAGGTTTCCACCTGGGGCTGGAGTGGGTCTGGATGCTTCATCCATAGTTGTAGGCACTGAGTCAGGCACTGCAGGGCTCTGCCAAGGGCTGGGCCTCACAGTTGCAGCCCCAGTAGTGGGCTCCAAGGCAGCATCTTTTGTCTACTTTCTTCTCCTTTGCCCAAGAGGACACTATCTCTTTCAAGCTGTGCTGCCTGGGATTGAGGGAGGAATGGGGCGGGCAGTCTCATGGCCACTGCAGCCACTATAATGTTGGGTTGTCAGATATTTGGGTTGTTTCCGTTTTTGGCTATCAACATCAATGCAATGAATATTCACACACATGTTTTTGTGTGGATCTACATTTTTGGTGTTCTTAGGGAGAAACCTATGATTAGAATGTTGGATACTATGATGCACCTCTGTTTTCTTTCCAAGGGGAATGAAAGTCATTGGAGAATTTTGAGCATAGGGGAGATATGATGTGATTTACTTGTTTACACTGTTATTACAGACAATGGAGGAAGAATAGACTACAGAAAGATAAAGCCAAAAGTGAGGAGACCAGGGAGGGAGCAATTGCAAAACTTCAGATGAAAGATTGAGAAGCTTTGGATCAAGTAACAAGGTTTTTGTTATAAAAAGTAACACTTTAGGCAAAGAGTAACAAAGAAAAATGTTATTTATAATCTATATCAATTACTACATGGTGTACTATATCTGAGAGTACCTGTGACTCTCAGCACGCTGTCATTGCTAAAAATATCTATTCTTCTTTATCTAGTGAAAGTCATGAAGAAATTTCAGAACTGACCTTTTCCAGGAAGCTCTTATGAACTTTTCCTTGAAGATGCAGGATATATAGTTACTTCAAGGATGCTTATGCTTGAACTCCAAAGTGTATTAAATCACACATTCTGTTTATTTTCAGAAATATGCTGCCCCTAGTACTCTCATATCACTGGACTTTTCAATTACTACTCTTATCTACTCTTATTCCCAAAGAAAAACATTTCATTGAATATTTTTGAGGATTCTGAAATTTTTATTTCTGAAAGGCAACAGGGGCAGTAGATAAAAGCACAGTCCTGGGATATGGGTCCCAGAGATTTCAATTTTGATTCCACAGTCATCTGTGCAAACCAACATTCTTCTCTATTTGTGACTCAGTATTTCTACCTCTCAGATGAAGAACTTGGATTAAATAATTTCTACTGCTCTTTGCAACTCAAAAGTTATGATTGTTTTTAATCTCTCAAAAACTTGAAAAAATATGTTGATGAAAAGAATCAAACTCTAAAATACATGAAGAGATTTATTCTGAGCCAAATATGAGTGTCCATGGCCCATGACACAGCCTTCAGGAGGTCCTGAGAACATGTGCCCAAGATGGTCAGGGCGCAGCTTGGTTTTATATATTTTGGGGAGACATGAGACTTCAATCGAACACATTTAAGAAATACATTGGTTTGGTTCAGAAAGGTGGTACAACTCAAAGTGGGGGCTTCCAGCTTATAGGTAGAATTAAAATTTTTCTGATTGACAATTGGTTGAGTTGATCTAAAGACCTGGGATCAACAGAAAGGAATGCCTTGGTTAAGATAAAGGATTATGGAGACCCAAGTTCTTATTTGCAAAGGAAGCCTTTAGGTACTATGCTTTAGATAAAATAGGTTGTAAAATGTTTCTTGTCAGACTTAAAGTCTGTGTTGATGTTAATGTTGGAGAGGTACAATGAGGCATGTCCGACCCCCACTTCCTGTCATGGCCTGAAACAGTCTCTTAGGTTAAATTTTAAAAGAATCCTAGCTGAGGAGGAAGTCCATTCAGGTGGTTGGGGGAGGGGTCTTTGAATTTTGTTTTTGGTTTACAGGTAGCTGTGAAGTACAACTTGCACAAATTCTGATTTCTATTGGTGCTGATGAAAAACAGTCAAATATGGCATTGTAATGAGACAGTCCATTGATCAGATCAATTATGATCTGGGCTGCTGCTTCTGAGGTAGGCCACTAAGAAGGGAATTTAAATGCATGTCCTGCCACTTCCTCCTTTCCAGTGACTGGTTGGTAGTTTTTAGAGCAGCTGACTTGAACAGAGAGAGAGAAACCTGTAACCTTAATCAATACCACCCGGACCACACCGTAAGGGAAAAATAAATGTTTCTTCTTCTTAAGAAACTGAGTATCAGATTCACTTTTGTTACATCATTCAGGGTGCTACATTAACTAATATATGCAATCACAAGGAAGGATAATAGTAGTGAAATGTTTATAATGATTTCCAGTTTATAATATAAATGTAATATCCCAAATGTCATATGTTAATATCTAATGGCTATCTATTAATCAACAAGCTACTTTTTCTGAGGAAACAAATTTACTAGATGGATGTTAATGCATGTAGATAAAATAGCATGACCTTTCTAGGAGGTCAAAACAGGACGATTTTAGATGAATCCTGGGGATATGCCAGAGTGAATGAGAATTATACTACGCTTTCCTATGAGCCTTTGATTTACAATACAGAGAACAATGGCCCAGGAGGTGCAACTTCAGCCAAAATCCCAACTAGTTCATCTGGACAAGTCACAAAACAGCAGAGCCCCAGTTTTATCTTTATAAATGGGAAAATCTTTAGAAAAATCACCATTGTGTAATTCACAGTACTATGATAAGGAGGAAGGGAACCTCCATTTGCTAAGGTGGATTGGGAATTATAACTTTGGAGCAGAGGCTCTCACATGTGAGTGAGCCAAAGAAGACCTGAACGAACTGCTGAGACAGAGAGCTGGGCCCAACCTAGGGCTTCTGACCCAATAGGATTTTAGATGAATCCTATAGGTCTTGGGTGCAACAGATGTGCATTTTTAACAGCTTGCCAAATAATGCTGATATGTGTGATCTGTGTAGACCACGTTGAGGACCCCTATCTTCAAGTAAACTGTGAATGGAAATGTATTAGTCCATTTTCATACTGCTATAAAGAAATACGCAAGATTGGGTAATTTATAAAGAAAAAGAGGTCTAACGAACTCACAGTTCCACCTGGCTGGGGAGGCCTCACAATCATGACAGATGGTGAAAGAGGAACAAAGGCACATCTTACATGGCAGCAGGCAAGAGAGAATGAGCAGGGGAACTGCCCTTAATACAACCATCAGATCTTGTGATACTTATTCACTGTCACAAGAACAGCATGGGGAAAAACCTGCTCCCATGATTCAATTGCCTTCCACTGGATCCCTCCCATGACACGTGGGGATTATGGCAGCTACAATTCAAGATGAGATTTGGGTGGGGACACAGCCAAACCATATCAGAAAATATGCTACATCTCTGTATTTTAAAATATATTCACAGATGTGTTGAGGGGGGAAAAAAGCAGTGTAGGAAAATGAGTAACTGTCAGCAAAATGATTTAAATATATTAGAGTAGGGAAAAATAAACAGAAAGGAGAAAGAAAAAAATCCTATCCTCCTTGAAAGCATTATGGTTGTTTTCAGCCACATGTGCCACTGGTGGAGAATGAGGTTAAAAATAAGCACAGAGAAACTGAGGATTTTCTTCTGGGGCTAGTTGCAGGATGACATATGTCCTTTAACGGTAGATCTGATAGGTGGTTGGTCCAGGGGATCCCGGTAGTCCGTGTGATGCTTACGTGAAGGTGTCCTGGGAGAGAAGTAGTAATCTCACCTTTTGACTAAAGGAGTGCCCAGTGTTGGAGGAAATTGGAATTCAGGTCGGGAAGGCAAAGAGAATGAATGCATAGGAAAGTATGCTCTGAAGCCTTGCAAATATTAACCTGGAAAAATAAATGTTTGCAGTGCTGAAGTGAGATGCTTTGCAAACCAGTTTGATTGGTAACTTCCACGACATATACAACATGTATAAAAAGGAAGCTTTAGACATATTTTTATTAACTTCATAACACTGCATAACTTGGCCTCCCAAAGTGCTGGGATTACAGGCATGAGCCACCACGCCCAGCCAAAATGCATCTTTTGTAGCTAGCAGATTGTTGAACTATGTTTTTATCCATTCTGCTGATCTCTGCTTTTTGATGTTGTTTTTAGTTTATTTACATTTTTAACAGTTCTATTAAATATAAGTGATATACAAATAATGGCATATATTTAATATGCATAATTTGATAATTTTGGACATAGGCAAACACTTGTAATATCTTCACCACAATCAAAATAATAGGCATAGCCATTACCTCCAAAAGTTTCCTTATGTCCTTTGTATGCATGTATGTTTTGTAAGTTTGACAAAATTGTCAAGAATACACAATGGGGAAAGGATAGTCTCTTCAATGAGTGATGTTGGGAAACGTTAATGTTCACATGCAAAAAAAAAAATGAAACCGGACCCCTTCCTTACACAACAATCAACTCAAACTGGATTAAAGACTGGTCAATTTGCATTTAATATAATTATTGATAAGGCAGAATTTACATCTGCCATTTTCTATACGTCTTATGTGTTTTTGCTTCTTTCGTCCCCCCCTCACAGCCTTCTTGTGTGTTAAGTGAATGTTTAATAGTGTACTAACTTGTTATCTTTGTTTTTCCTATTTTTTTTTTGAGTAATTTTATTACTGTTTGCCTTGGAATTACACCTAACAATTTAACTTATAATAATCCAGTTTGAATTACCGCCAACTAAATTTTATTAGTATACAAAACCTGAGCTCCTACGTGGCTCAATTCCCTCTAACCTCCTTTATGTTATTGTTATACTAATTATGTTCTTGTACACTGAATTCCATCAACACAGCTTTATTGTTATTGTTTTATGTGGTAGTATTTTAAATCAGGTAGGAGAAAAAAGTGTTACCATAAAACAAAATACATTTAAATCTCTGTTATTTTTACCTATGTAATTATTTTCACCATTGCTCATCATTTCATGTGGATTTGAGTTCCTTTTGGCATTCTACTACTTCTGTCTGAAGAACTATCTTTGGTATTTCTTATACAACAGAGTGTGCAAGAGGCAAATCCTCTTTTATTTTTTTTGGTTTAACTGAATGTGTTCTAATCTCTTTTTTATTTCTAAAGGTCTGTTCTGCAGGATATAGAATTCTTAGTTGACTAGTGTTTTTCTTTCAGTTCTTTGAATATGCCATTCCATTTTCTTATGGCCCCTATTGCTTCTGGTGAGAAATCAGCTGTTTATCTTTTGACTCTCTCTCATACATGATGAGTTGCGTCTCACTTGTTGATTTCGCTACTCTTTGTTTTTGTCTTTGGACAATTTTACGATGCATCTAGGTGTGGATCTCTTTAAATTTATCCACTTGGAGTTCACTGTGCTTCTTACATGTAAGATTAATATTTTGTATTTTATTTTCAAGGTTTTGGCCATTTTTAAAAGATATTTATTCTTCCCCTCTTCTCTCTCTTCTCTTCTTTTGGGGAATCTATTATGCATATGTTGGTACGTTGGATGTTGTTGTATAGGCCCCTGAGGCTCTGCTCATTTCTCGTTTTAGTATTATTTTTTGTTCCTCAGACTGGATAATCAATACCAAAAAACCTACCTCCAAACTCATGGATTTTTTTGTCTTCTGCGAGCTCAAGTTTGCTGTCAAGCTCTCATAGTGAAATTTGCATTTCACATATTATACTTTTTAACACTAGAATTTATATTTGGCTTTTTTATAAAAATAAAATTTATGTTTCTTTATTGATATTCTCTTTTTGATGAGATATTTTTGACATATGTTTTTTTACTTTCTTAGACATGATTTCCTTTAGTTGTTTAAAGAAATGAAAAACAGCTGATTTAAAATTGGTGCTTTATGAATCCAAAGTAGGGGCTTTTTTGTAGACACTTTCTACATATTCCTTTTTTCCTTGTATATACACATTTTTTTCTGTTTATTGTCTCAAAATTTTCTGTTGAAAAGAGACATAAATAATATGATAGGAAAATTTAGTTGATAGGATTCACTTCCTCTCCTTCAAGTTTGCTGTTCTTGAAGTTTGTTTAGTGAATTTTCCGAAATAATTCTGTGCAGCCTGTACTCTTTGTTGTATGTAGCCACTGAAGACTGCTAGAGTAGCTTAAAGTCAGCTTATGATAGGGTAGATTTCCTCAAATACCTGAAAACATTAAGTGTCCCAGTCTTTGCCACAGAGTTCTGCATGAATGTTGAGGCATGCCTTCAACTCCTTGTTGGACAGTTTACAACTTACCTTCACCTTTCCTTTCTTCTTGCGCTGAGCCTCAAGTTCAGCCAGAGGTGAGAGACTTCTCAGGTCTTTCCTGACCACGCACACAACATTTTGCATAGACATGTGTTTACATTACCAAATATGTCAGAGCTTTTCTAAGTTCCCATGAAAATTTCATTTTCCAGCTTTTCCTTTTAAGTTTTTCATTTATGTTGCATTTTTGCTCTCAACTGTTTTCTCTGTCTCAGGCAGATGTAATGTTAAATAATTGCCACTAATTGTTTTCACAAATTCCTTTAAAGAGAGGGTCTTCATACTTGGAGACACTGAGTCAGGTCAACTAATTGACAAGGCCTGCAGTGGGTTTTCCAGAGAACTATCAGGCAAAAGAGTTTCAACTCTGTTCTCACTCTTTTTGAGGCAATGTAGCTCCTAGTTTTCACCATCATTGGAGAGTTTGTTGAGGATACCATGGAGATGGAGGAGGTGATGGAATACAGCATGAAAATGTTGGTTTTCTCAAGCTTTATCAGTATTCTCATGATTTTATGGGGGAGAGAATTTTCTATGGGTCCTTATTCTACCACTTATAATACTATTATTTAATAAGTAAAATCTGAATATCTCTGTTCACAAATTAGCTCCTGAAACAAGCAATTTCTAATATAAAATAAAATATAATTTCAAATAGGTCCCTAAATTTGAACACAAATATGAGGAGTTGGCAAATAAAAGAAAGATTTTCTCCTGATAGTAAATAATAATGAGACACTTTCCTTTACAAAACTATTTTTTTATAGAACTGTCTGTATTTTAGCAGCACAGTTACCAAGGTTAAATTTCTAGGAAAGGCTTTGTTGAAGCAGCTCTCAACTGTTAGTCACATTGAACATATAAATATTTCAAGATTACATTCTACTCAAGTATTTAGTTTAAACTTCTACCCAGGAAGCCATGAATAAATCTAGATAACACATGGTAGCTGAGTAATTGCGTCTTAAAATGAGAATGATTTCAATAACAGCATCTTCTATTTAACCTGAATATCTTACTTTTCCCAAGGACATACTCCTCCATGAAAATGCCCTGCTGAATATATTTACTTGACTTGATTTCACTTCCAATTTCACAGTCACATCACTGCTTCAAGTTATTTAACAACAATGGCAATATTTGGACAATACAGGCATCACTTTAAGATACTTGAACCTTGTCCTACACTCCTGAATTTTGTTAGTTTCCACATTACATCAACCTTATTCTCTAATTCCTCTGCATATGCATTCTAAAATAATTTTCTCATGATGTGCTGACAGAGTTTGAGATTTTATATTGTGTTCGGTTTAAGTAGTTCATATTCCCTGGAACCACTTTGAGCTGTATTGCTCTCATTGTCCTTCTTATCAGCCAGCTGCAGACTTGGTGCTAGTATTTCTGTTGAATATTATATTCTCTGGTAAAGAAATAGTCTATCTCCTTTCGAAATTTAGAGGATACCTGTGAGGTTTTGGACTGTTTTTTTTTTTTTAAAAAACACTCTACAATATCTTAGTTGTTAAGGTCAGAAACTAGATGTCATAAAATTTTAATTACAGCCTAAAAATATGTTCTTTTTTTCTTTCAGTTACTCTATTGAAAACTGACAATTTAAAATAATTATTTTAACATTGTCATTTTGTAATTAATTTTTATATTTCTGTATTACAAGATTGCATACATAAAATAATTGGACTCTCTTAACCTTTAGGATATGTCTATGAAATTTTAAGGAAGACAGAAACATTTAATTGTTAATTCTTTCTTATAGGAATCTATAAGACTTGCAGACTATGTGAAATGTAGTGATAGTTGTACTAGGTGAATATAGGTTACAGAGCGTTTTACTGCAGACTACAATTTGTTATGCATTATTCTCTTCTGTAATCTCTACTTTTTCCCCATTCTTTTCTTTGGATCTTTTTAATCAGGTGTTAAACAGATTCAACTCTGTCTCATCCTTGAAGTAACCAAACTTTTTAAAATTGTCAATATTCAGTGTCTTCATGTATTAATTTCCCACAATTACTAAGAAACTAAAAACTGGCAGCAAGGTGTAGTGGCTCACACCTGTAATCCCAGCACTTTGGGGGGCCAAGGCAGATCACTCAAGGCCAGGAGTTCAAGTCCAGCCTGGCCAACATGGTGAAATCCCATCTCTACTAAAAATACAAAAAATAGCCAGGTGTAGTGGCACGCACCTGTAGTCCCAGCTACTCTGGAGGCTGAGGCAGAAGAATCGCTTGAACCCAGGAAGCAGAGGTTGTAGTGGGCTGAGCTCATGCCATTGCAGTCCAGCCTGGGTGACAGGGTGAGACCCTATCTTAAAAAATAATAATAAAACAAACGAAAAACTGAATATCCTTACCATTTCATAGAAATTGCTCTTACCAAGGTTATCACTGATCTCCCTTAATCACCCCAACCTTCTTAGAGCAATCTTCCACGCTGGCTTCTAGCAGAACAACTTTATGGCCCTGTCCAGCTTCTTCAAGCACTCCTACCTCACCTACTTTGTGACATTCTCTTCTGTTCACCATGTGTCATGGAACAATCACCCTCAGAGCTGTGTCTCAAGTGATCTTTGTAGACCCGACATTTCACAGAAAACCCTGGCTACCTTGATGGCTATTTATATGATGCTAGAAACAAAGACCATAGTGTGGCCCTACCCACACCGGCTGAGGATAGAGATCTATGTCTCAGTACAGTGTTTAAATAGGAGATAAGCCTGCATATCTCTGACTTAATTTGTGAACTAAAATATGAAAAAATATTACATTTACTTGATTTTATTCTGGGGCTCTTAACTTCTTTGAACAAATTCAAACATCCGGAGTCTTCACTTGTACATTTTGACTGAGAATCTAGCTGTCTTGTAAACATATATTTTTATATGTATTGTATTATTAGTGTTAGATTAGGCAGACAGCCACACATGAGCAGGAGAGGGCGACCCCTGAGAAAAGGGAGGTCTGGAAAACTTCATACCCCAGGGACTACCTGAAGTCTGCACGCTGGGTATGAGAGGGAGGAAGGGAAATACCTAGGCAGGAAGGAATGTCCCTTGAGAGGCCCAGTGATCACTCACTCTGCAGGTAACCTGTCAAAATATCGCCAGATGCACGCTGATAAGCGGAAAACGGCAAAGAAGAACTTCCTAGGAGATAACGCTGGTGCAGTTCCTGTCCGATACCCGGCCACGCATGCGCACTGACTGACAGTAAAGGCGGGTCCCACAAGCCTGGGGTGGGGAATAGGCAGGAAAAAGGAGGGGACTTAAGGCCATAACTGTAAAACTAGACAAAGAACAAAGGTGGAGACTTAAGGCAGAGGCGGGAACTTCAAGGAAGCGTTAGTTCCACGTCATCAACACCCGACGCAGAAAACGCAGCGCTCTGGGGGGCTGCGGGCTCACGCCCCTCAGCAGCCCTCTCTGCCTCACCCTTGCAGAGCGCGCTGGGGCTCCCTATTTTCCTTCAATCAATTCTCTTTTTTTGGCTAAATCAGTCGCTTGGCAGAAAGCTTTCTCCAAGTAAGACTAATAACCAAAGACTCCTGCAGTTCCCAGTAACATTTATGTAATAGTTAAAAAAAACAACAACTTATTTCATTTTAAATTCATCAATTAAAGCCTTACTTTGAATATGCCAGTTGACATTGTCTCAAATAATAATAATAAGTCACTTGCAAATAGGTAACGTCAAGGAGATCATTTTAAACAATTAAGGTTGTTATTTGAGAGGCTTGTTTTATGTTTTCTAAGGTTTATCTTATATATACCTGATAAAGAAAAAAGAGAAAAAAGACTATTTTTTTCTCTCAGCATGTGATTTATCCCAGATATCTGTAATTTTTTTTTAAATTAGCATGATAATTTTTTGCATCTCTGGAAACGACAGTTATGAAAAAAATAATATTATTAGAAACGCTAAATTAAAAGTTATTTTCCATATGTACAGAGACAACTTATTACCTTCTGCCTCCGTTTCTACTGTTCTTTTCTACAGTCTCCTTCAAGGTCAGGCCTTCCCTAAAGATTTGCTTCTTTCAGTTTCCCCTTTCTTACAGTCATTCATACATCTCAGAATATTGCATTCAACATCTCCTCATCTAGACCATGGTCCACAGTGCCAATAGAGTCATCTTGCAACCAAAGTTAAACCGTGAAATCCCTCCACTTGAATTTGCTTAGGGACCTCTTCCTCCATTTGACTAAACTCCCAGTGCCGTGCAATGGGGTCACTTCTTGTCTTTCCACGGTCATCCTATGCACTCCTTCACCTCATCGGAGTCTGATTCCTTATCTCATGCTCAGCCTTGTGGCGGGCACGTGACAAGCATCACCTCCTGAATTTCTCATGGCACCGGCGCAAGGTACAGGCTCTTGACAACCCTGTGTTATGTGTCAGGAAACTGAAATTGAAATGAATTATCCATGGCTAAATGCATTATCCATGGCTACCAGCAGGGAAATGGAAAATATTTGAACCCCAGAACTGTTGATCGAGAATTCTTTCAAGTTTTATATTTGGCCTCTTCTCCTTAATTTAGATATTCAGTCCTATTTCCCTGATGCCTACAATGTGCCAAAGTCGCTTATACTTCTTTGCCTTTCGAGTTGCTGTTTTCTTGTCTCAAAACATCCTACTCTTGAGTTCTTTGTGCGGTTAATATTTTGTCATCCTTTAGTTCTCAGCTGAAGTGTCATATTCTCAGGTAGGAATTTTCTACCCACTTTTCCATAAGCAGAATATCCTTAGTTTCTGTCTGCTTTCACAGAGTGCTTACTGCCTATTTTTAAATTTACTACACTCTATAATTATGTTACTGATCTGGTTACTGTCACCTGATATAATTATTTAATGTGCCTGGCTTAGTGTATGTAGTTGTGCAGTAAATATTCATTGAATGAATAAACGTTAAAGGTTATGAAACTGTGACGTAAAAATCTTATGAATAAAAAATGGAAGATGGGAAAAGTCAGAAACAGCTTCATTACATGTGTAAAACACAAACCAATTATGTCCAAAGAAAAGCAAATATTATTTCCACAGAATTAATAATTTAATATTATGTGAAGTCGGGGTCATTGAATACTTGTAAATTGGCAATTGATTCTCGATATATTCCTTTA